>NC_000021.9:7743700-7865746 GCF_000001405.40 Homo sapiens | reverse complement strand
GATCCAAATAAGCTCAATTAGAAACAAAACAGAAGCTATTACAACTGACACCACAGAAATACAAAAGATCATGCAAGGCTACTATGAATACCTTTACACACACAAACTAGAAAATGTAGAAGAATGGATAAATTCCTGGAAATATACAACCCTCCTATATTAAATCAGGAATAAACAGAAACTTTGAACAGACCAATAACAAGTAGCAAGATAAAAACAATAATACAAAAATTCCCAACAAAAAAAAAAGTCCAGGACCAGATGGATTCACAGCTAAATTCTATCAGCTATTCAAAGAATTGGTACCAATCTTACTGAAACTATTCCAAAAGATAGAGAAAGAGGGACTCATCCTTAAATCATTCTGTGAAACCAGTATCATCCTAATGCCAAAACTAGGAAAGGACATAACAAAAAGAAAAACTACAGACCAATATCCCTGATGAACATAGGTGCAAAAATCCTCAACAAAATATTAGCTAACCGAATCCAACAGCATATCAAAAAAGATAATACACCATGATCAAGTAGTGTATTAAGATATAAAGATATATCATCATGTATAAAGATAAACACCATGATCAAGTGGGTTTCATACAAGGGATGCAAGGATGGTTTAACATACATGAGTCAATAAATGTGATACATCACATAAACAGAATTAAAAACTAAAATCATGTGATCATCTCAATAGATGCAGGAAAAGCATTTGACAAAATCCAGCATCTTTTTATGATTAAAACCCTCAGCAAAATTGGCATAGAAGGGACACACCTTAAGGTAATAAAAGCCGTCTATGACAAACCCACAGCCAACATTATACTGAATAGGGAAAAGTTGAAATCATTCCCCCTGAGAATTGGAACAAGACAAGGATGCCTACTTTCACCACTTCTATTCAACATAGTACTGGAAGTCCTAGACAGAGCAGTAAGACAAGAAAAAGAAATAAAGGGCATCTAAATCAATAAAGAGGAAGTCAAACTGCTGTTCACCAGTGATATGATTGTATACCTAGAAAACCCTAAAGACTCATCCAGAAAGCTTCTAGATCTGATAAATGAATTCAGTAAAGTTTCGGAATACAAAATCAATGTACACAAATCAGTAACACTGCTATATACCAACAATGACCAAGCTGAGAATCAAATCAAGAACTCAACCCCTTTTACAAAAGCTGCAATAATAATAATAATAAAGTACTTAGGAATATACCTAACCAAGGAGGTGAAAGATCTCTACAAGGAAAACTACAAAACACTGCTGAAAGAAATCTTAGACAACACAAACAAATGAAAACACATCTCATGTTGATGGATGGGTAGAATCAATATTGTGCAAATGACCAGACTGCCAAAAGCAATCTACAAATTCAATGCAATTCCCATCAAAATACCATCATCATTCTTCACAGAACTAGAAAAAAAAATCCTAAAATTCATATGGAACAAAAAAAGAGCCCACATAGCTGAAACAAGACTAAGCAAAAAGAACAAATCTGGAGGTATCATATTACCTGACTTCAAACTATACTATAAGGGTATAGTTACCAAAACAGCATGGTACTTGTATAAAAATAGTCATGTAGACCAGTAGAACAGAATAGAGAACCCAGAAATAAAGCCAAATATTTACAGCCTATGGATCTTCGACAAAGCAAACAAAAACATAAAGTGGGGAAAGGACACCCTGTTCAACAAATGGTGCTGGGATAATTGGCAAGCCACATGTAAAAGAATGAAACTGGATCCTCATCTGTCTCCTTATACAAAAATCAACTCAAGATGGATCAAAGACTTAAAACTAAGACCTGAAACCATAACAATTCTAGAAGATAACATTGGCAAAACTCTTCTAGACATTGGCTTAGGCAAAGTGTTCATGACCAAGAACCCAAAAGCAAATGTAACAAAGACAAAGATAAATATATGGGACCTAATTAAACTAAATAGCTTCTGCACAACAAAAGAAACAATCAGCAGAGTAAACAGACAACCCACAGAGGGGGAGAAAATCTTCATAAACTATTCATCCAACAAAGAACTAATATCCAGAATCTACAAGGAACTCAAATCAGCAACAAAACAAAACAAAACAAAAAATAATACCCTCAAAAAAGTGGGCAAAGGAAATGAATACACAATTCTCAAAAGAAGAAATACAAATGGCCAATAAACATATAAAAAAAGCTTGACATCGCTAATTATCAGGGAAATGCAAATCGAAACCACAATGAGAACCACGTTACTCCTGCAAGAATGGCCATAATTAAAAAATAAAAAAATAACAGATGTTGGCATAGATGTGGTGAAAAGGAACACTTACACTGCTGGTAGGAATGCAAACTACTGCAACCACTATGGAAAACAGTGCGGAAATTCCTTTAAAAACTAAAAGTAGAACTACCATTTGATCCAACAGTTCCACTACTGGGGACCTACTCAGAGGAAAAGAAGTCATTATACAAAAAAGACACTTACACATGCATGTTTATAGCAGCAAAATTCACAATTACAAAAATATGGAACCAGCCTAAATGCCCATCAACCAATGAGTGGACAAAGAAAATGTGGCATATATACACCATGGAATACCACTCAGCCTTAAGAAGGAACAAAATAATGGCATTCACAGCAACAGTAACCTGGATGGAGTTGGAGACCATTATTCAAAGTGAAGTAACTCAAGAATAGAAAACCAAACATTGTATGTTCTCACTTATAAGTGGGAGCTAAGCTATGAGGACGCAAAGGCATAAGAATGATATAATGGACTTTGGGGACTCAGGGGGAAGGGTGGGAGGGGGTTGAGGGAAAAAAAGGCTACACATTGGGTACAGTGTACACTGCTTGGGTGACAGGTTCACCAAAACATCAGAAATCACCACTAAAGAACTTATCCAAGTAACCAAACATGACCAGTTCCCCAAAAACTATTGAAATAAAAAAAAACAAGAAATGTCAGTGTGAATTCATAAGTACACGTATGTATGTGTGTGTCTGTAATTAATTTCAGTCAAAGAGCCTAGAAGTCATAACATTGTAATAGCAATGGGCACACCTCATGCCTTGAACTTGGTATCTAAGTACCATTCCCCAGGAAAGGGAACCAGGGATCCTCATTGAACCGGCTGATTACAAGTCAAAAGCAGGTAAATTACAAGTTGAGCCTAGGACACCTTATTGTACCAGAAAATAAGGAAATCACGGACTAATGGGATCATGTCAAACGAACAGCAGAGGCAGCTTGAAGAGGGTCCCACCGGCCAAATTGAGATTAAGTATCAGAAATAATAATGATGGCAGTTGACATTGAGTTATAAAGAAATCCATGAATTCACAGTGATACTCAAAAAAAAAGAAAAAGGAACAGAGAGAGAAAAGAGAACTCTTCTTTAGGGAAGACTTCCTCCAATAAATGTAGAAAAAAGATATACATTTATTGCAACCCTCAAAGAAGAAATAGATTCAGGGAAGCACCTTCAGTGGATGCCAAACCTTATTGGGTGAAAGGTTGTTGAGGAACAGGATGTCAAAGTATAATTCAACAAATTACAGTATTTACTAATTTTGAGAAGGAAAATGCACGTTTACTATGAAAGATACGGTGACTGTCACCTTCCCTAAATTATCAAAGTGAGCAATGCCAGCAGGGATGGGCTGTCATCATGTGTCCTGATGGGATCCATCTGTTGTATTAGTTAGGGTTCTCTAGAGGGGCAGAACTAATGGAATGAATATATATATATGAGTTTATTAAGTATTAACTCACATAATCACAAGGTCCCACAATAAGCTATCTGCAGGCTGAGGAGCAAGGAGAGCCAGTCTCTGAGAGCAGGGAGATCCAAACTGAAGAACTTGTAGTCCGATGTTTGAGGGCAGGAAGCATCCAGCACGAGACAAAGATGTAGGCTGGGAGGCTGGGACAGTCTCTTTTCACATTTTCTGCCTGCTTATATTCTAGCTGCACTAGCAGCTAATGGTGCCCACCCAGATTAAGAGTGGGTCTGCCTTTCCCACCCTTCTGACTCAGACGTTAATCTCCTTTGGCAACAACCTCACAAACAAACCCAGGATCAATACTTTGTATCCTTCAATCCAATCGGGTTGACACTCAGTATTAACCATCACACCTGTGAAGGATTCTTCTCATGAGCCCAGTTCAGCCTTTAGATCCACATCCAGTTACAGGAAATACAGAGGAGAGAAGGACAAGTCAAGGAGGCCCTGACGAAGCTGTCTGACAAAGCTAGAATGAGGGATGTTCTACAAGACAGTTGAGCCAAACTCCAAAAAGTCATCACAAATTCAAAAAAAAAACAAAACCTAAACTTAAAACCTCTGTAAGGTCATCTGATTGGAAGGACTCACATAAAATTGCAAAGGACGCTGTCTTCTCTTTGCTAGTTGAACCCGCTACTACATGTGCCTCTCCATACTGTTCTAGACCAGCGTTTATCATGTTTCACAGCCTCTCTTGGTCCCAATGATGGAGATCCCCGTTCCTCTCCACTATGTTCATCAACCAATTTGGTGTTCTCTTGAAGGGTAGGAAGGTCTCAACAGAGACTGTTGGCTCTTGTTAGGGGTGCCTTTTTTTTTTTTTTTTTTTTTTTTTTAAGATGGAGTCTCGGACTATTGCCCTGGCTGGAGTGCAGTGGCACAGTCTCGGCTCCCTGCAACCTCCACCTCACAGGTTCAAGCAATTCGCCTGCCTCAGCCTCCGTAGTAGCTGGGATTACAGGCACCCACCACCACTCCCAGCTAATTTTTATGTGTGTGTGTGTGTGTGTGTTTTTAGCAGAGACGGGGTTACACTATGTTGGCCAGGCTGGTCTCGAACTCCTGACCTTGTGATCCACCCACCTCAGCCTCCCAAAGTGCTGGGATTACAGGAGTGAGCCACCGCGCCCAGCCGTTTAGGGGTGCTTTTATATGGGAGAAACAGCCTGGTTGCACATAAATTTAAAACAACTAAGGCAAGCACCCATATGTAATGAGAATCTCCACTCCTTTCTGTCCAAAGGCTGAGTGCACCAGAATACTTCAATCTGAGAAAGAAAAAAAACCTTTATCTGAGGAATGTGAGCCCTTTAAATCATCAGGCCCAGAAAGGCATTTAAAATGTGACCACAATCAGGTCTCACTCTCCCTGGAACTGAATAATGACCTCTTGAAGCCACTTGCTATGTGGGCTGCAGATGAATGCCAAGTTGCAACAATGTATAGCCAATCACTAACCAATGTTATTTCTGTAAACTAATGAAAATTCCTGATGAGCAGCTTTCGTAATTGCTTCTCTCATGATTCTTCCTTTTTTCTTTAAAAACTTGAGGCTCTTCTTTGTCCTCCAGAGCACTCCCCAAGGCAACTTGGAAGTGCATCCATGGCTGCAGCTCTCAACCTTGGCCCAAATAAACTCTCTATATTAATTCTGCCTTTGCTTCTTCCTTTTAGGTTGACATTTCCATCTCTAGAGACTGGATACTCTCCCTCCTGACAGGTGCCTGATGACTCTCTTGTATTTAGAAGTGGCCCTTCCTATCTCTGGCATATTTCCTCCCCAAGGGTGGGGTGTTCCTGGGATGATGTTGAGGTATGCTAGGACTTGCTGCTGTTGCGGAAATTTAAAATAAAATCTGCCAATCTAGAAAACCTGTCCAAAAATATACGAAATGAAAAAAAGTGTTATTATTACATATGCATTAAACCAGATTGCAACACACATCAAAAGCAATCCACTAAAGAAATTGCAAAGACAGAAAAAATGTATCACCCTCTTACATAGCCAGGCAGATAGAATCTATTACATATGTGTTAATTGCACTCATCCAAAGGAAGAAGAAAACTCTCATATGCTACAACTTGTAGCCAGACTCCTAGGCAAAGCTCCCAGAGAGACAGGAGACAGGGCACCATCCATCTTAATGTTCACATTTCAAAGAGATGGCTCCGAGGCCCCCGAGAAGCACATTCCTGGGAAGCCAAAGTGGCAAAGGGCTTGTTTAGCTTTCAGAAAGGTTTATATACCTCCCAAAGAGACAGAGAAAGGATTATAAAGGAAATACTCTAAGAAAAGGGAGGGAGGGACTTCTCTTTGCCTTTTGGCACCAGGGAAAATTCAATTTCTTTTTACTTGTACTTACCCTTATACTGCCTAGGAAATTAAGGAGAAGTTGAGGGTCCACTGAGTGGCAGGGCTGCCAGAGAATGGTTTCCCAGCCCAGTGCTGGAAGAGCTCCTATCTCCCAGGCGAGCTGGACCTCCCTTTCCCTGCCACTGACTCTTCCTCCTCCTGAGCTACTGGCCAGCCCTGGAGCGGCTGTCTCATAAGCTCTTACAAATGAGATGGAGCAGGGACCCCTCTTAGGGGCCTGGTCTCCCCAGCACCAAACAGAGGAATTAAAAAATCTTGAGTTTCTTAAAGGGAAATTCCAGGCACCTAGCTAGCCTGAGAAGTAAATGAACAACTTGATAAGCAAGAGAGTAATAGTAGCTTAAAACAATAATCATGGAAGTGAGAATCATGGGATGTTTGGCTCCCTGTAAAAACTAAAGATAACATCTTTTTTTGTTTGTTTGATTTTGTTTTGTTTTGAGACAGGGTCTCACTCTGTTGCCCAGGCTGGAGTGCAGTGGTGCAATCATGACTCACTGCATCCTTGATCTGAGGGCTCAAGCAATCCTCCCATCTCAGCTCTGTCAGTAGCTGGGACCACAGGCACATGCCACCACAACTTGTTAATTTTTGTATTTTTTTTTTTTTTTGTAGAGGCAGGGTTTCGTCATGTTGCCCACACTGGTCAAACTACTAGGCTCGAGCAATCTGCCTACCACAGTCTCCCAAAGTATTGAGATTACAGTCGTAAGCCACCATGCCCAGCCAAAGATAGCATCTTAAAGATAGCAGCAGGAGACAGACAAATTCCCAGGCAGATTGGGGTGGGTCCCCCATGAAACCCAACCTCCAAGCCAAAGACAGCCTGAAGCCTGAAAACCAGGCTGTCAGTTCTGGATGGAGTCCATGACCAGAATGAGAACTTCTATTTTCATTTGCCTGCTCTTTCCCAATTGGTTCTTTCTGAATAATGCTTTTTAACCAATCAAGTGTTGCCTTTTCCAAGGCTATGGATAGCTGACACCTCCCACATTCTGAGCCCATAAAAACTGGAGAGACTCAGCCACACATTGAGACTACCTACCTTCAGCTCCCCTCTCTGCTGAGAGCTGTTTTGTTGCTCAATAAAGCTCTTCTCTGCCTTGCTCACTCTCCAGTTGTCAGCATAATCTCATTCTTCATGGACATGGGACAAGAACCCAGGACCCACCAAACAGTGGGTGCAAAAGTAGCTGCTGTAACACTGTAGCCCTCCCACCCTCCGCCAGTGCTGGGCATCCGTCCCACGTGATGGGAAATGGCAGCAGGGCCGGGCCTTCCCAGGAGCCACAAGCTAGAGCAGGGCAGCAGGACTGAATGAGCTGTTAACATACCCCCATTTTCTGCACTGTGAGTGGCGGGAAGGAGAAAAGAGCTGCAACCCTTCTGGACATCTAGACCTCAGAGCTTCTGGAGCCAGTGCTGTGACATGATGTAACACCCCCTTTGGGGCTTCACAGGTGCTGGCATCTCCAAGTTTTTGGGTGCCACTGTGTTCCCCTAGTCTGGATGCCAGCACCTGGAGCTGCTCATTCCATTGCAGCAGCTGATGCACCTGACTGTGCACAGTAACTGGACCCTGCAAACTTGCCACTCCACACCTGGCTCACCTGTGGTGGCTGGTAGGGTGAGCTGGGTGCAGCCTGCTGGGCCAACTGGATGGAGCAAGGCCAGAGGCCAGCTCAGAGCTGAGTGAGGCCCAGGCAGGGGTGCAGCCAGCTGCAGAGGTCTCTGGCTGGTGAAGTGGCACCCCAAAAAAGTCCTGTGCCATTAACATATGTCCCAGAGTTGTTTCAGAAACCTGGACCCCCACCAATGGATCCACCAAATGGATCCACTGACACATAGACTTCAGATAAAGAGGAATTGAGGACTGAATTCTGACTGCCATTCTTTGTTCTAAATTTCTCCCTGGGGAGCCTGGAGGAAGTCACACCCATGAGCCAGAGCTGACATTCTTTTCTACTGATCCCACAGTTTTAGACAAAGCTTTGCCTCACCTATGACCTGTGGGCCCACTTCAAGATGTTCCACCTTTCTAGGTTAAACCAATGTATAACCTCCATGATTTCTTATTTTGCCTGTAACCTCTGCCTCCTGCCTTTAAAACCCTTACCTGTGGCCGGGCACAGTGGCTTATGCCTATAATCACAGCACTTTGGGAGGCCGAGGCGGGTGGATTGCCTGAGGTCAGGAGTTTGAGACCATCCTGGCCAACATGGTTAAACCCCGTCTCTACTAAAAATACAAAAATTAGCCGGGTGTGGTGGCAGGCACCTGAAGTCCCAGCTATTCAGGAGGCTGAGGCAGAAGAATCACTTGAACCCAGGAGGTGGAGCTTAAAGTGAGCCAAGATTGTGCCACTGCCCTCCAGCCTTGGCGACAGAGCGAGACTCCGTCTCAAAAAAAACAGAACAAAACAAAAAGCAAAACAAAAAAAATGACGAGTTAATGGGTGCAGCACACCAACATGGCACATGTATACATATGTAACAAACCTGCCCATTGTGCACATGTACCCTAGAACTTAAATAAAAATACATATATATATTAAAAAAAAAAAAACCCTTACCTGCAAGCTATTGTGGAGGTCAGGAGTTAAGTGTTAGATGCCCGATCCTCCTTGCTTGGTATCCAGTTTGGTTTCATAATATAAGTGTGTTGCAGGGGAATCTTTTCCTCTACCCATCTTAGGTTTTCCAACTGAAACCTTATAAGTTAGACTGGCCAAAGACTGATTAACAAGAGAAAAACAAGTCTACTTACAAGTTCGTTGTCTGTGTACACACAGGAACACTAAGAGGTGAGTAACCCAAAGGGGTGGTTAGACTGGGGGTTAAATACCATCTTAGGCTAAAACAAAAAAGAAGGGGTTGGGGCTTCTGTGTAGGGGAGGCAACTTATGAGAAGTTAACCAGGAAAAGGATGGTAAACAAGAGGTGTTTAGTAAGATTTGTTGTGCAGAATTAAGTCTGCCCTTTCTCCTCTGATGAGTAGTTAAGAGTCTTCTTCCTGGGAGAAGGAGACACCTCTACAATCCTTTACAAAAGGAAAACTTAGACTCTGTTTTTAGACCTTTCGTGCATCTGCTGGTTCTCAATAGCCTTCAGCTCAAAATAATTATATGCCAAAGAGGCATATTTGGGGTGGCATATTCTAGTACACTTAGCAAGCAACATCCTAGACTCAGGTTTCCACATTTTCTTTCCCCATCTCCACTGCCATCTCTCCCTCTGAAACCTATCGTATGCACTATGGACCCCAGCCTTGGAAACACAATAGGCCTTCTTATTTTTGACCCTTAAATGCAAAAGACTGACTACCACAAGTGGAGAGTAGGAGAAAGAATTCAAGCCTCAAGGCAAGTTCCTACATCTCTCCTTAGATCTGATGAGATTAGAACACAGCTTACTCTCCGACAGGGGTTCAGGAATCTGCAAATAGTTCAAGGAGTCACCAGGTCCTGGGAAACAAAACTAAAACTCTAGACACCTGGGACCCAGCCCAGACTGACTAAACCAGAGCAGGGCAGTTTTTAAAGCTCCCCAGGATCCTCAAGTGCAGCCAAGGTTGAGAGCCACCAGCCAGAGGAAGAACAGAAGAGGAATTTTTTATGTGTTGTTAAGGAGTCCAGACTGGAAGCCTCTGAAGCTTTGTAGAGGAGAAGAATAGTAAGATTAGTCATTTTGAAAGATCCTCTGGCAGCTGGCCATGTGGAGGGTGCATAGGAAAGGAACAAAGAGAGGAGATGGGTTACGAGATGGTTAGGTTAATGCAGGTGAGAGCCATCTGGGCTTGAGCCAACATAGGGGTTGGAGGAGTAGGAAGATGGGAATAAATCTGAGAAAGGCGAAGGTGGGGATTCAACCTCACCATCAAGCAAGGTTATGCTTTCCACTTTTTTTTTTTTTTGAAAAGGAGTTTTGCTCTTGTTGCCCAAGCTGGAGTGCAGTGGCAAGATCTCGGCTCACTGACCTCAGCCTTCCAGGTTCAAGCAATTCTCCTGCCTCAGCCTCTCAAGTAGCTGGGATTAGAGGCACCTACCACCACATCTGGCTAATGTTTGTATTTTTAGTAGAGACGGGGTTTCACCATGTTGGTCAGGCTGGTCTCGAACTCCTGACCTCATGATCTGCCTGCCTCGGCCTACCAAAGTACTGGGATTACAGGTGTGAGCCACCGTGCCTGGCCACTTTCCACTTTTCTCTGCTCTCCAGTTTCTGCTGTCTTTAAGGCAGTTCCCAGAAGAACTGGAGTTTATGTTCACACCAAGCAGAGCAGCAGTGTCTCCTCATCTTTGAGGGCCAGAGACATCTGCTTGCATCACTCAGCAAAGGCAACTATTAGTGCTAAGTAATTCTAACAGGGCTATGTTAGGGTACAGAGTTTCTTGGCACTTTTTAAAAATAATTTTAATTTTTGTACATAATAGGTGTATATATTTATGGAGAACCTGAGATGTTTTGATGCAAGCATGCAATGTGAAATAAGCACATCATAAGAAAGGGGTATTCACCCCCTCAAGCATTTATCCTTTGTGTCGCAAACAATCCAAGTATACTCTTTTAGTTATTTTAAGTGTACAATTAACTTCTTATTGACTATAGGCACCCTGTTGTGTTCTCAAACAGTAGGTCTTCTTCATTCTTTCTAGTTATTTTTTGCATGCATTAACCATCCCCATCTCTCCCCACCCACCCACCAGCCCCCGAATAGCTTTCCCAGCCTCTGATAACTATCCTTCTACTCTCTATATCCATGTGTTCAATTATTTTGATTTTTAGATCTCACAAATAAGTGAGAACATGCAATGTTTGTCTTTCTGTGCCTGGCTTATTTCACTTAACATGATGTCTTCCATGTCCATCCATGTTGTTGTAAATGACAGGATCTCAGTCTTTTTAAGGGGTGAATAGTACTGCATTGTGTGGATGTATCACATTTTCTTTATCCATTCATCTGTTGATGGACACTTAGGTTGCTTCCAAATCTTAACTATCGTAAACAGTGCTGCAAAAAACATGGAAGTGCAGATATCTCCTCAAGATATTGATTTCCTTTCTTTTGGGTATATGTCCAACAGTGGGATGGCTAGATCATATGATGGGTACTTTTATCTATTCTCAACTTCACAAATGTTTGTCACATAGTTACCTTACTAAGGTAAAAGAAAAGCAAATTTATGATAATTTGATTATTAAACAATTTCTGCTCATGATTAACATTCTTGTAGCTAACTTAAAGTTTCTGGGAAGGAATACTGGAGATTAAACTCAGGGATTGATTTTTTTTTTTTTCCGTTTTTGTCCCTCTTTCCTAACAGTCTTCAAAGGAGAACGACCCATTTCCCAATTTACTTGATAGAAGTCCCTAAACTCGGAGCATCGAGTGTGAGGCTTTGGAGCTGCAAGTGCCTGAGCTTGGATTTCAGGTTAATTGTGGTCTCAGATGCTGCCATCTAACCAATCTAAGAATCCCATGTTGGGCTGGAAAATGCGTCTGGAGAGTAGGGGACGGTATTTGCTGCTCAGTTGTTAGGTATGATATGCTGTGCCCCCTAGAGGCATTAAAAGTTTCTCTTCCTAGCTGACCCTGTTAGTTCCTATTTCACCATTGCCTGAAGCCACAGGAAAATGTTTCCTGTGTCTGAGAATTCAGCAACAATGATGGCTACGTCTCTTTTTCACCTGGAAAAGCTTCACCTACTTTGACATCCTCATCTTATCAGACATTTTAGCAGCATTTGCTTCAGTGAACCACCCCTTTCTTGTTGGGACTTTATCTTCCTAAGTTCTGGGATGATGATATTGTCTTAGTTTCCCTCCTCTCTCTAGCTGCTCCTTTCAATCTCCTTTTCGGCTTTTTTCTCCCAAGAGACTAAATATACAAATGGACAATGGCCACATGATATATAAATAGAACTATGACTCACAGCTTGCAGCTACCTGCCAGGAACCCAACCCCTTTATCTACAATAAACAACCGGAAGCCAGCCTGCTATAAGTCAGACTCATAGAAAGCCGGACTGCTATCTCTAGTAACAATTCAGGAAGTTAAATAATAATATCCATAACAGTTGGCCCACAATGACCAGGACTTGATTAATAACTGACAGCTCCCCTAATTTTTGTCTTCACTTTAATTTTAGGACCAACCAGAGAAAACCAAATATGCATCCCTAGCCAATTCCATGGGACACCCTGCCCCTAATTAGCTCACCTAGGGCTTCGCCATGCCAACAGACTCCCATCAGGGTGCACCTGCAGCCTTCCCTTCCTTTCCACTGTGAAAGAAAACAAAATCGCAGGACCCTAAACTCACTATGCCAAAGGGAAAGTTAAGCTTGGGAACTGAGTCATGCAATACTGCCTTTCTTTTGTTCTCAAATAGCTGTAATTTCAAAACCCTGTGTCATAACGTCATACATAAGCCAGGTTCCCACAAAGATAGGAGGCCACATATCTCCCCAGATGGCCTTCTTCACAAATTGCTCACAAGGAAATTCTGTGTGAGCCCTAAATCTTATAGGATACATATCCCCCCTATAAGCTAGCCCCGAAACTGAGTTCTGTTCAATCTCACCCTAACAATGTCAATTACAAGTTTATCTTCACAGGTAAGAGGACAAGGACAAGACCAGAAATCATCCCTTCATCCACCCTGAGATAAATGCATCATTGACTTTTCCCCATACTTCCTCTTTTCACGTGTTTGCTTTATTTTATGTAAAATGCCAATTTACTGAGCGTTAATCAGAACCTCACAATAATGTTACCATTTGCCTCACTGCCCACCCTCCCTCGCTTTTTTCCCTCCTGTCTGTTCTTTGCCTTTTCGACACTGAATTCCCAAAACCCTCTTTGGAAAGCACAGGTCATAGATGTTCCTGTGACTCGAGTTTTTCCCAGGCACATTCTCAGCCTTGGCGAAATAAACCGCTATCAATTGAGACACCTGCCTCTGTCAGTTTTTGGTTAACATCACTGTCAAACTTTCCCACTCTTGCCTTGGAGTCTCTACCAAAATGTAAGTGATGGTGACGACTCCCTTGTTACAGTATACCCTGAATATATAGCTTTTGTTTTCCTTATGTGGTTGGCCTTTATTATTTATGTTCCTGCTCCTCTATGAAACTCTAACCATCCCAGGACTTGATCCTCAGACCTCTCTTCTCTAACTACCCTCCTCCAGGGTGGGGGGGCCCCATTGGGTCCCATGGCATGAAGCAACATCAATATGCTGGTGACATCCAAGTGTATATCTTTCCAGTCTGACTCCTCTTTGAGCTCCAGATTCCACATACCTGGTCACATCTAGACTTGGATTTTTTTTTTTTTTTTTGAAATGAGGTCTTGCTCTGTCACCATGGCTGGAGTGCAGTGGCATAATCATAGCTTGCTACAGCCTCAACCTCCCAGGCTCAAGCCATCCTCCCACCTCAACCTCCCAAGTAGCTGGGACTACAGGCATTTACCATTACAGCCAGCTAATTTTTAAATGTTTTTTTGTAGAGATGAGGTCCCACTATGATGCCCAGGCTGGTCTCAAATTCTTGGACTGATGCGATCCTCTCATCTCAGCCTCCCGAAGTGCTGGAATTACAGGCATGAGCCACCTCACCAGGCCTAGACTTGGATTGTGAAAGGCATCTCAACCATGACACATTCCAAAGGCAAACTTCTTGATTGAACCCGCAACTTTGCTTAGCCAGCCCCATTTCTCCACCATGCTTTCTACCCTAGTTAATGGTGCCAGCCTTCACACAGCTGCTCAAACCGGCCCTGGCTGTTCTTGATTCTTCTTCTGGCCTCTTGGACTCCGCCATGTTATTCAGAGCCATTTGGTGACTTCTGACAGCTCTGCCTCAAAATGCTTCTCAGATCTGTTTCTCTCCTTCTTTCCCCTCTACAGCCAGACTGGTTCAAGCCCCATCACATCTCATGTGGACCATGTGGGTGCTCAGTGCATGCTATGGAGTGAATCAGCAGTGGGGTTGTTTCCTCATTGACCTCCAATATCTGACTGTTCTCAGTGGTTCTAAAGAGTCCTGTCAGCAAATGTAATTTATCTTCAAGGAAACTTTGGGATTACATGTCTTTTTTTTTTTTTTTTTTTTTTTGAGACGGAGTCTCTCTCTGTCACCCAGGCCGGACTGCGGACTGCAGTGGCGTAATCTCGGCTCACTGCAAGCTCCGCTTCCCGGGTTCACGCCATTCTCCTGCCTCAGCCTCCCAAGTAGCTGGGACTACAGGCACCCGCCACCGCGCCCAGCTAATTTTTTGTATTTTTAGTAGAGACGGGGTTTCACCTTGTTAGCCAGGATGGTCTCGATCTCCTGACCTCATGATCCACCCGCCTCGGCCTCCCAAAGTGTACATGTCTTGAAAGATATGAGATTAACAAGGTGGGGCTGGTGAAATGCAAAGGTCATTAGTCTTCGAGTTAGAACCACTTTTAAAAGAAGCCAACGGCTTCAAAGACTAATGATCTATGGGTTCATTCATCCTCAGCAACACAAAGGATAAGTATTGATGGCAAAATGCTTGTTAATTCTCCTAGGCTGTTATTGCACTATACAATATTAGTTACATGTTCTTATAGAGCACACACTCGTGTGTGTGTATACATATATATGTATTTCAAAACTAGAAGCAGTTATAGAGAAATGTCATGGTTACCCTTGTAGCTGAACCCAACTGTATCACAACTTAACATTTTGCAATATGTTTTTTGGATTTTTAAATATATATACATGCAACAGTATAGGTAGAAGTTGGTCAGGCATGGTGGCTCATGCCTATAATCCCAGCACTTTGGGAGACCAAAGCAGGTGGATCACCTGAGGTCAGGAGTTCGAGACCAGCTTGGCTAACAAGGCAAAACTCCATCTCTACAAAAAATACAGGTGTGGTGGTGTGCGCCTGTAGTCTCAGCTACTCGGGAGGCTGAGGCAGGAGAATCACTTGAATCTGGGAGGCAGAGCTTGCAGTGAGTCGCAATCATGCGACCGCACTCCAGCCTGGGCAATAGAGTGAGACTCTGTCTCAAAAAAAAAAAAAAAAGTGAGTCCCCCTCCTCAATTTCATTTTCTTTCCTCTCTTTGCAGAGATAACTGCTATCATGAATTTGGTATTTATAATCTCAAGTGTGTTTTGATACTTAGGCTAAATTTTGTAAGCCCATAAATAAGAACATAGTTTGTTTTACAGAAGGTACGTATAAAAAAAGTAGTCTATTTTAGTTATTATTTGACAAATTACTTTTTTAACATTCAACATTGCTTTGTTTATTTATTTGTTCATTTATTTATTTTGAGATGGAGTCTTGCTCTGTCACCCAGGCTGAAGTGCAATGGCACGATCTTGGCTCACTGCAATCTGTGCCTCCCGGGTTCAAGCGATTCTCCTGCCTCAGCCTCCTGAGTAGCTGGGATTACAGGCGCCCGCCACCATGCCTGGCTAATTTTTGTATTTTTTTTTTGAGACAGAGTCTTACTCTGTTGCCCAGAGCTGAAGTGCAATGGTGAGATCTTGGCTCACTGCAACCTCTGCCTCTTGGGTTCAAGCAATTCACCTGCCTCAGCCTCCTGAGTAGCTGGGATTACAGGCCCATGCCACCACGCCTGGCTAATTTTTGTATTTTTAGTAGGGACAGGGTTTCACCATGTTGGCCAGGCTGGTCTCAAACTCCTGACCTCGTGCTCTGCCCGCCTCGGCCTCCCAAAGTGCCAGGATTACAGGCATGATAATTTTTGTATTTTTTAATAGAGACGGGGTTTCACCATGTTGGTCAGGCTGGTCTCAAACTCCTGACCTCAGGTGATCCGCCCACCTCGGCCTCCCAAAGTGCTGGGATTACAGGCATGATAATTTTTGTAATTTTTAGTAGAGATGGGGTTTCACCGTGTTGGTCAGGCTGGTCTCAAACTCTTGACCTCAGGTGATCCGCCCACCTCGGCCTCCCAAAGTGATGGGATGACAGGCATGAGCCACTGCACCCGGACATATTTTTAAATTTTTTTAATCAACATTGCTTTTTAGATTGATCCATGTTGATATACACAGTTCTGATTCATTCTTGTTTTTATCATTAAGTTTATTGAATTGTACAGAAAAGTGCACAGATTATGAGTGTCATTTCAATTAATTTTCATAAATTAATACTTATTAATTTAAGGAAACAAAAATATAACCACCAATTGGATTTGAGATCGAATGTTAATAGTACCCCAGAAGCCCCTCATGTGACATCATCCAGTCAACGTCTGTTCCACTTCCCCCAGTGAAACAATTTCCTAAGCTCTCGCGCCATCGCTGCCAGTTTGCAAACTCTTTATGAATGGAGTTGGAGCTTGCAGGCTGTGTCTGGCTTCTTCTGCTCAATTTTATACTCAAGAGACTAATCTTTGCTTTTTTTGTGTAGTAGTGAGCAGTTTGCTTATTTAAATTTTTTAAAATAGATTTTATTTTCTACAGCAGTTTCAGATTTTTAGAAACGTTGAGAAGATGGCACAGAGAGTTTCTTTTTTATTATTATTATACTTTAAGTTCTAGGGTACATGTGCACAATGTGCAGGTTTGTTATATATGTATACATGTGCCATGTTGGTGTGCTGCATCCATTAACTCTTCATTTACATTAGGTGTATCCCCTAATGCTATCCCTCCCCCCATCCCCCCCGCCAACAACAGGCCCTGGTTATGTGATGTTCCCCTTCCTGTGTCCAAGTGTTTTCATTGTTCAATTCTTTCAATATACTTCACATCCAGTTTCCCCTATTATCGATATCTTACATTTGTTACAATGAAACAAATAATGACCTGTTATTAACAAAAGTTCATAATTTTGTTCTTTCAGTCTTTACTTAATGTCTTTTCCTTCTGTTCCAGAATCCCACATTAGATTTAGTTGTCATGTCTCTTTAGGCACCTGCTGTCTGTGGCAGTTTCTCCGACTTTCCTTCTTTAGATGCATTGAGGGTTCTGAGGACTGCTTAGGTATTTTGTAGAATGTCCCACTTTTGGAATTTGCCTGATATTTTTCTCATTAGAAAACTGGGGTTGTAAGTTATTGGAAAGAAAATCACAGAGGTGAAGTGCTATTTTCATCCCGTGATATCAAGCGTACCTACTGTCAGCATGATTTATGAGTGCGGAAGGTAGCCTTGGTCGCCTGCCTGAGTGGCGCTTGTCAGGGTCCTCCACTGTAAATTTACTCTTTTTCTCCCCTTTTCTATATTGTACACTTTGGGAGGAAGTCATTATGTACAGCTCACACTGAAGGAATGGGGAGTTTGATTCCTTCTTCTTGAAGACAGAGTACCTGTGTAAAATATATGGAATTCTTTTGTAAGAGAGATTTGTCTCTGCTTCCTCATTTATTAATATATTTAACCATGTATTTATACCATGCATATTTACTTTATACTGTAGGTTATAATCCAATACTACTTTATTACCGCAAAGTGTTCCAGCTTTGGCCATTGGGAACTCTTTTAGCTGGCATCTGTGCTCCTTTGACAGACCCTGATCAATGTTTTGTTTGGTCCTGTTTTGTTCTTGAGCACCTCCTTACTTTCTGGCACTACCAGATGCTTTAGGCTCATCTTGGATATTTCCTGTCCCAGTCTTAGAAACAGCCACTTCTCCAAAGAATCCTGGTTCGTTTAAATGGAGAATAGTATTAGAAACCAAGATACGGTGCTGTGCACGTTTGCTGTTACTGGGATGTCATTTCTTTCAGGCTGTTTCAGGGACAGAGCAAGAAACACACATGTTTATACTATATCATGTATATATGCATATCTATAAATACTTCTATAGATAACCATCAGCCTCTCTATTGAGCTAAATATGAGTCCACACTGCTCTCTCCAACTCAAATCCATCACTGCATGAATGATTCTTTCTCCTCCTGCTTTTTGATAAACAGCCACTCCAGTGGTGAGAAACCTGGCTTCTACCATCTGCCATCCATTCATGTAATTGTTCCATTCCAGTATAAATACATAGCAATAACAGAATTGTTAACCAGTACCTCTATGGGAAACAATTTTTTCAACTAGAGTACAGTGCTCACATGCAGTTCCCTTTGCCTTTAATCTTATAAGCCTCACTTATTTCCAAAATACTTCAGTATTCTTCTCTTCCCCTCCCCGACCCATCCCTTCAGTGAGAGTGTTTCCTATATTTGTAATACAGTTAGATTCTCTTCTCATGGTCTGCATTCTCTCTTGGGATCCCCCAACCTCTTAAATAATTTTTCAAAATTTGCATTCATTAAGGTTCACCTTTGGTTGCATAGGCAATGCAACGCAATATCTTATATCCACCATTTAAATAATTCTACTGCCCTAAAATTTTACATTACAATAATCTTACTGCCCTAAAAATTACCTGCAGTTCACCTATTCACCCTCTACCCTCCACCTTAACCCTGGAACTCACTGATCACTTTCGAGTCTCTACAGTTTTGCATTTTCCAGACTATTATGTAATTGGAATCATATAATATGTAGCCTTTGCATACTGGCTTCTTTATATATATATATGTATTTTATTACACTTTAAGTTCTAGGGTACATGTGCACAACGTGCAGGTTTGTTACATATGTATACATGTGCCATGTTGGTGTGCTGCACCCATTAACTCGTCATTTACATTAGGTATATCTCCTAATGCTATCCCTCCCCCCCTCCACCCCACAACAGGCCCCGGTGTGTGATGTTCCCCTTCCTGTGTCCAAGTGTTCTCATTGTTCAATTCCCACCTATGAGTGAGAACATGCAGTGTTTGTTTTTCTGTCCTTGCGATAGTTTGCCGAGAATGATGGTTTCCAGCTTCATCCATGACCCTACAAAGGACATGAACTCATCATTTTTATGGTTGCATAGTTTACTGGGTATATACCCAAAGGAATATAAATCATGCTGCTATAAACATACTGGCTTCTTTCACTTAGCAGTATGCATTTAAGATTCCTCCACAACTTTTCATAGCTCAATACTCATTTCTTTTTATTGCAGAATTATATTCCGTATTCCACTATATAGATGTACCACAACTTGTTTATTCATTCAGCTGTTGAACAGAATCTTAGTTGCTTCCAGTTTTTGGCAATTATGAATAAATCTGCTTTAAACATTTACATGCAGATTTTTTTATGCGAACATAAGTTTTCAAATCAATTGGATAAGTATCTAGGAGCACAGCAGATGGATTCTGTACTAAGACTATATTTAGTTCTGTAAGAGGCAGCCAAACTGTCTTTCAAAGTGGCTGCACCATTCTGCATTCCCACCAGCGATGAGCAAGAGTTCCTGTTGCTCTGCCTCTCTGTCATCATTTGGTATTGTCAGGCTTTTGGATTTTAACCATTCTCATAGGTGTGTAGTGGCATCTTGCTATTGTTTTAACTTGGAACTCTCTAATGACAAATTAATTATTTATTCATTTGTTTATTTATTTTAAAGATGAGCTCTCACTATGTTGCCCAGTCTGGAGTGCAGTGGCCGTTCACAGGCACATCATAGCCTACAATAGCTTCAAACTCCTGGTTTCAAGGGGCCCTCCTGCCTCAGCCTTCTGAGGAGCTGGTGCTGCTGTGCCCAGCCGTAAATTATGATGGGCATCTTTCTATCTGCCATTCTATGAATCTTCCTTGGTGATCTGTCTCTTCAGATCTTTAGCCCACTTTAAAATTGCATTACTTGCTTTCTTGTTTTTTTAAGAGTTTCTTGTGTATTTTGGATACAAGTTCCCGTATCACATAGGTGGTTTGCAAATATTTTCTCCCAATCTGTGCCTTGTCTTTTGATTCCCTTAACAGTATTTTTCACAGAACATAGTATTTTAATTTTAATCAAGTATAATTTATAAATTTTTTTCATGAATCATGCTTTTTGGCTTGTATTTTAAAACTCATCACTAAATTCAAGGTTACATTGATTTTCTGCTTTTTTTTTTCTGGAAATCTGAAAATATTGTATTTTACATTGAGATCCATGATCTATTTCAGTTAGTTTTTGTGAAAGGTGTAAGATCTGAGTCTAGATTTGTTTTCTTATACGTGGCTGTCCAATTGTTATGCACCATTTGTTGAAAACACTGCCCTTACTCCATTGAATTGTCTTTGGTTCTTTATCAAAGAGAATTGACTATAGTATATTTGTGAGAGTCCTCTTCTGGCCTGTCTATTCTGTTCCACTGACCTAAGTGTCTATTCTTTCACCAGTACTGTGGTGTCTTCCTTGCTGGAGCTTTATATTAAGTCTTGAAGTCAGTAGTGTCAGCCTTCAACTCTGTTCTTCAATACTGTATTGGCTATTTTATGTCTTTTGCTTTTTTATATAAACTTCAGAATCAGTTTGTTGATATGCACAAAGTAGCTTGCTGGAATTTGGGGAGATTATGTTGAATCTATAGATCAAGTTACAGTGAATTGTCTTTTAAATAACATTGAGTCTTCCAATCCAAGGACATGAAATATCTCTCCATTTGTTTTCATTTGATTTGATTTCTTTCATCAGAGTTTTATAGTTTTCTGCATATAGATCCTGTATATGTTTTTGTAGATTTCTACCTGAGAATTAATGTCTTTCCTTCTTTCTTTGGTACTATTGTAAATGATATTGTGCTTTTAAATTTGTATTTTTAATTGTTCATTGATAGTATATAAGAAAGCCATTGGCTTTCCTGTATCAACCTTGTATTCTGCAACCTTGCTATAATATAATCACTATTATGGACTGAATTTGTCCCTCCACAAATTTCATATGTTGAAACCCTAATCCCCAGTACCCTAGAATGTGACTGCATTTGGAGATGTGGACTTTAAAAAGTGATTAAGTTAAAATAAGGCCTCTAGGGTGGACCCTAATTCAATCTGACTGGTGTCCCTCTAAGAAGATGAGACAAACAGAAAGAGACACCAGGGATTTTCATACACAGAGAAAAGGCCATGTGAGGACACAGCAAAAATGTGGCCATCTGCAAGAGGAGGAGAGAGGCCTCAGGAGAAATCAAACCTGCTGACACCCTGACCTTGAACTTCTAGCCTCCAAAACTATGAGAAAATAAATTTAAGTCATTTAACTCACCCAGTCTGTTGTATTTTGTTATTGGCAGTCTTAGTAAACTAATAAAATCACTTATTAGTTCCAAGAAATTTTAGTTAATTCTTGGGATTTTCTAAATAGACAATCATGTCATTTGTGAAAAAGACAGTTTTATTTTTTCCTTCCCAACTTGTATGTCTTTTATTTCCTTTTCTTGTTTTTTAACACAAGCTAGAACTTCCAGTATAATGTTGAATAGGAGTTGTGAGAGGGACATCTTGGTCTAATTCCTGATCTTAAGGAGAAAACATTCAGTTTCTCACCATCAAGGATGATGTTAGCTGTAGGTTTTTGTAGATGTGCTTTATGAAGTTGAATTCCTAGTTTGCTGAGAGTTTTCATCATGAATGGGTTTGGATTTTGTCATGCTTTTTCTTCATCAATTGATATAATCATATGATTTTTTTCTTCAGCCTGTTGGTGTGGTGGGTTCCATTAACTGACTCTCAAATGTTAAACCAGCCTTCCATACCTGAAATAAATCTCACTCATTTGTGATGTATAATTCTTTTTGTACATTATTGTATTTGATTTGTTAATATTTTGTTGTGAATTTTTGCATCCACATTCATGAGAGATATTAGTCTGTAGTTTCCCTTTATTGTAATGTCTGCTCTTGGTATTAGGATAATGTTAGCCTCATATAATGAATTAGGAAGTGTTTCCTCTGCTTCTATTTTCTGAAAGAGACTACAGAGAATTAATATCACTTATTTTAAAAGTGTTAGATAGAATTTACCAGGGAAACCAGGTTAGCTTGGTGCTTTCTTTTTGGAAGTCTATTAATTATTGATTCAATTTATCTAATAAATATGGGCCTATTCAGATCTATTTTTCCTTGTGTGAGTTTTGGTAGTTTGGGTCTTTCAAAGAATTGGTCCATTTCATCAAAGTTCTTCAAAATTGTGAGCATAATGTTGTTTTCAGTATTTTTAAATGATCATTTTGTTGTTCATGTGATCAGTAGTGATGACTCTCTTTCATATCTAATGTTGGTAATTTGTGTCTCCCGTTTTTTGTTCTTAGCCTGACTAGAAGTTTGTCAATTTTATTGATGTTTTCAAAGAACCAGCTTTTGTCTTTGTCGATTTTCTTCACTTATTTCCTATTTTTAATTAATTTTTCTTATTTCTTTTTTTTTCTATTTGCTTTAGGCTTAAGTTGTTCTTCTTCAGTTTTCCATGCTGAAAGCTGATTGTTAATTTTAGATCTTTCCTCATTTCTAACATATGCATTTAATGCTACAACTTTTCCTCTAAACACTGCTTTTGCTGCATCTCACAAATTTTGACAACACGTATTTTTATTTTCATTTAGTTCAAAATATTTTAAAGTTTACCTTGAGATTTCTTCTTTGACTCATGTGTTATTAGGTATATTGTTCAACCTCCAAGTAGTTGGGGATTTTTCCTGTTATCTTTCTGTCATTGATTTCTAGTTTTCATTCCATTGTGGTCTGAGGGCAGACATAGGATGATTTTGATTCTTCTAAATTTGCCAAGTGTATTTTATGACGCAGAATGTGGTCTATCTTGGTGAGTGTTCCATATGAGCTTGAGAAGAATGTGTATTCTGCTGTTGTTGGATGACGTTTTAGATGAATCAGATCCAGTTGATTGATGGTGCTGCTGAATTCAACTATGTTCGCACTGATTTTTAGCATGCTGTATCTGTCTGTTTCTGTTAAAGTAGTGTTGAATAGTGGATTCATCTATTTCTCCTCAAGTTTTACCAACTCTGTAATGTTTCTGTTTGTTACACTTGTCTATGGACTTATTATTTCTTATGCTTTTTAGATTAATGAAGTATTTTTCTTTGTTTCATATTTCCCCATTATTATTTATACATTCTTTCATTATTTTAGTTAAAACATTAGAGATTACAGAACGCTCCTTGAATTATTAGAGCCTTTATTTTGCCTTCATTTTTAAAGGACATTTTCATTAGGTATAGAATTCTAGGTGGGTAGTTATTTTCTTTCAGCACTTTAAAGATGCCATTTAATTTTCTATAGTATTCAATCTTCCTTTTGAGAAATGAGATACAGTATCTATCTTATTGGTGATTCCTGTATATCTTTTTCCCCTCTGTCTGATTGTAAGATTTTCTCTTTATTTTTTGTTTTCAGCATTTTAATATGATGCACTAAGAAATTCTGATTTTCCTTAAAGTAATTTTTCTTGAAGTTTTAAATACTTCTTTCACCCATGGCTTCATTTTTAAAATCAGTTTTTGGAAAATTCTCAGTCCCTATCTCTTCAAATATCACTTCTGCTCTGTTCACTTTCTTCTGTACTTCTCAGCCTCTAACTGCACTTCTCTTAATCCTTTTCCTTACATCTCTTATACTCTTTTTTTGTATTTTTCATTATTTTTCTCTTGTGTTTCACCCTGAATATTTTTAACTGACTTACATTCTAATTCATAAATAATTTCTTCAGCTGTGTCTAATATGTTAGTAAATCCATCTATTGAACTGATACTTTTTATAGATTCCAGTTTTATGATGAAGCTCTATTCATAAATTGACTTTGGAAGTTCATGTTTTTTTTCTAGAAAAATATATATCTTATTTAAATCTTCAAATTGTGTTCCTTGAGTAGCTTTTCATCTAGTAGCTCTTCTCTCCTTTTTCATTTTCATTTTTGCTAATTTTTGTTTTTAAAATTTTGTTTAATCTACTTTCTTTAGTTTATTTCATATGTCTCCTTTTTTTAGTTAAACTTATTTTCTATCATTTTTCTTTTCAAAAATTCATTTAATGCTGTCAATTTACCTCTAAGAACCACATTAGCTGCATCCCAGAAACTTTCATATATAGTATTTTCTATGGCATTTAGTATTTTATTGTTTCTAAAATGTTTTCTTCTCTAACCAATGGGTTAAGTAGACATGTACTTGGTTTTTGGTTTTCAGATATGTGAAGATTTATTGACCATAAATTTACTGCTGATTTATAACCTAACTGCATTTTGATCATAGAGCCAAGCACGTATGTAAAACTAATATTTAAAATGTTCTTGAGACTTCTTTCATGATCTAGTACATGGCCAAATGGTAAAAAAAGTTCCGTGAACACTTGTTAAAAAAATGCATATTGTTTATTGGTTGGGTGTAGTGCTCTCTCTATATATATATTTAATGAACTTTGTTAATTTCATCACTCAAATATTCTATATGCTTACTATGTTGGGGAGGGCAGATCTACCAGTTGCTGAGAGAAGTGTGTTAAATGGCTCCCTACAACTCAGTTCCCCTTAAGGGAATTGATAAGATAGATAGATATATCAATGTCTTATAAATCTGCCAGGATTGCTTTATATTTGCTGAGTCTGTATAGTTAACTACATACCCATAATTGTAATATTTTCCTAGCAGACTGTTTCCTTTTATTAAATTGGGTGATCTTTGTATACTATTAATCACCTGAATTTTTACTTTGTCTTGTGTTAATATTGCTACCTTAGATTTCTGTGTGTTAGCCTTTGCTTAGTATTTTTTTATTACTTAATTTTCAACTTTTCAATTTGGTTTTACTTCAAATGTATATCTTGTAAGCAGCATATAATTAGATTTTATTTTGTTATTCAATGTAATCATTGTAGTCTTTTGTGTGCTTATTCTATTTAAAGATATTATGATTATTGATGTACCTGCATATATTTTTACCATGTTACATTTTGATTTTTATTTCACAACTTTTTCTCTTAAAGTATTTTTCCCTCCTATTTCTCATTGGTGTGAGAAACCATTCTATTTTCCCTTTTATTTACACAAAAGAATATATTTTGTTGCTTTGCAACTTATAGATTACTTATATCCTTTTTGTAATTATCTATAAAATTTTAGCATACTTAGTAAACTATGAATTTCCTACAAAATTTCTGTTGTTAAATATTTCTGTTTTCTTCCCGATCACATCAAGGACCCAGAAAACTTTCTTTCTGTGGACTTTCACCCATTTAACTCATCTTATTCTTTAAAAAATTCCAAATCTAATTATTATTATTTTGTTAATTTAATGGCTATTAAAATTATTAATATTGTTTATCAGTTTCAGTAATTATTATTTTACCTTTCAAAATTTTTATTTTATTTTTAATTGACTACCATTTAATACTGACTTTCACACATTCCCTTCTGTCCTCTTTTCTTATGGCTGAAGTACAACCGTTAGTATTAATAGGATACATTTTAGCAAATGTGAATTGTTTTCATCTATGAAATTCTGAAAATCTCTTTAGTTTGTACTGAAACAATTGTGCATTTCTATGTAAAAACATAATCCTAATCTTTCCTTTATCTTTTATAAAAAATTCAACTTGAATTGGATCATAAATTACAGGTACATTTGGTTACAAAATGCACAGATCAACCCATCACGTAGGTATTAAGCCCAGCATCCATTAGCTATTCTTCCTGATGCTCTCTCTCCCCCTTCCCTGACAGGCCCCAGTGTGTGTTATTCCCCTCACGTGGCCATGTGTTCTTGTCATTCAGCTCCCACTTATAAATGAGATCATGCAGTGTTTGGTTTTCTGTTCCTGCATTAGTTTGCTGAGGATAACGGCTTCCAGCTCCATCGGTGTCCCTGCAAAGGACATAATCTCTTTCCTTTTTATGGCTGCATAGTATTCCATGGTGTATATGTACCACATTTTCTTTATCCAGTCTAGCATTTAGGTTGATTCCATGTCTTTACTATTATGAATCATGCTGCAATGAACATATGCATGTCTTTAGAATACAATGATTTGTATTCCTATTACACATATAATAGGAATAGCATGTTTTGTATTCCTATTTTATGTATATATAATAGAATGATATATATACCCAGTAAAGGGATTGCTGGGCCAAATGGTATTTCTGCCTCTAGATCTTTGAGAAATCGCCACACTGTCCTCCATAATGGTTGAACTAATTTATATTCCCACCAATAGGGTAAAAGCATTCATTTTTATCTGCAATCTCACCAGCATCTGTTGTTTCTTGACTTTTTAATAATAGCCATTCTGATGGGAGTGAGATGGTAGCTGATGGTGGTTTTCATTTGCATTTCTCTAATGATCGGTGATGTTGAGCTTTTTTTCATTTGTTTGTTGGCTGCATGAATGTCTTCTTTTGAGAAGTGTCTGTTCATGTCGTTTCCCCACTTTTTAATGTTACAAAATGCTCCTTTAGCTCAGTGACGTTCATTATTAGCCACCTTCTGAAGCCTACTTCTGTCATTTCAGCCATCTCAGCCTCAGCCTAGTTCCATGCCCTTGCTGGAAAGGTGTTGCAGTCATTTGGAGGAGAAGAGGCACTCTGGCTTTTTGAGTTTTCAGCGTTTTTGTATTGATTCTGATCTGTGTGGGCTTATCAACCTTTGATTTTCGAGGTTGCTCACCTTTGAATGGGGTTTTCCTGGTTGATGTTGTCGGTGGTGCTTTCTGTTTGTTTGTTTGTTTTTCTTTTATCAGTCAGGTCACTCTTCCGCAGGGCTGCTGTGGTTTGCTCAGGGTCTGCTCCAGACCCTAGTTGCCTTGGTTTTTCCCATACCCGGAGGTATCACCAGTGAAGTCTGCAAAACAGCAAGATGGCAGCCTGCTCATTTTTCTCCATCCCAGGAATGTACTGACATGTTGCCTGCCTGATCGCTCCTGTGGGAGGTCTCTGGAGACCCCTGTTGGGAGGTCTCACCCAGTCAGGAGGAACGGGATCAGGGGCCCACTTAAAGAAGCAGTCTGGCTGCTTTTTGTTAGAGCAGGTGTAGCGGGTGTGCTGCATTGAGGGGACCCTTCCTCCAGACCGCCTGAACTCTCCAGAGCCAGCAGGCTGGAAAGACTGAGTCCACTGAACTGCAGCGACGTCGGCCACCCCTTCTCATGGGGGTCTCCGTCCCAGGAGAGAGCAGAGTATTTTCCATATAACCCTGGCTGGAGCTGCTGAAATTCCCACAGGGAGGCCCCACCCAGTGAGGAGGATTGGATCGGGGTCCCACTTAAAGAAGCAGTCTGGCCACGATCTGGCACAGCACCTGTGCTACACGTTGTGGGAGACTCCTCCTTGTCCAGACTGTCTGGACTCCCCGGAGCTGGCAGGCTAGAATGGCTGAGTCAACTGAACCGCAGAGATGGTGGCTGCCTCTACCCACGAGAGCTCAGTCCATCTCAGGCTGACTCCAGGCTGTCACCACTGGCTGGCAAAAATTACAGTGGGCCTTAACCTGTGAGGTGCTGTGTAAACGGGGCCTGCAAAGCAATGCTGGTTGGCTCCCTGGGTTCAGCCCCCTTCCTGGGGGAATAGATGAATGGATCTCCTGCCTTGCTGGGATTCCTTGGGCTGGAGTATGTAAAATTCCTGGGTCTTTGTGTGTGCCTGAGTGGCCGCTCTGCCACGACTCTGCACAGCTCTGTGTGTCGGACCCAAGGCCCCGGTGGCATGGGCTCATGAAGGGATCTCCCGATCTGCGGGTTGCGAAGATCCATGGGAGAAGCATGGTTTTCCGGGTGGTGTCGCACACTCACTCACCTCTTCCCTTTGCTGGGGTGGGGCTTCCTTTGGCTCCGTGCCGCTCTCGGGTGGACCATTTTCCCAGCCTGCTTTTCTTCATTCTCCATAGGTCTAGTTGTCTGACTAGTCCGAGTGGGGCCGAGAATCTGGATATTTTAGTTGAAGGTGCTGAATTCACTGGCTGTTTTCATTCCTCTCCATGAGAGCCGCGGACTGCAGCAGCAGCTAATCGGCCATCTTGGCCCCTCAACCTTATTTTTCTAAAACCTTGGTCCCTAGGCAGCAGTGAGGCACTGTCTTTCTTTCGGGGCCCCACCCTAGTTCCTGACTTTAAGCAAGTACTTGGTTCCTGTCTGCCATCTTGGGTGGGGCGTCTTGGATTTGCCCAGCAGAGGCCAAACTCCCTGCTGATTTTAGACAAAGAGCCCAGTAGGTCAGAGGCTTCTGGCAGTGTCTCTTCTGCTTCTGTTGAGCCAGACATCTCTTTTTAGCTTTCTATTTTTATACCTACCTGTCATGGCTTTGTGTTCAGAGCTGAGAGATCGATCAAAGCATGAACTCATTGAGCTGTCTTGCCCAGAATGTTCTTCCCTATCTTTCTTATTTTCAATTCACTGCCTTGTTGCAGAGGGATTTAAAGAAGCTGTTTTACTTCATCACGCTGACACTGAGTCAAACAGAGCGGGCATTCTTCTCATCTGAGTGACAAATGAGAAAAACAAGAAATAAAGAGCTAAAAGTACCTCAGCTCAGGTTTAGTGGTTGGAAGGCTAGCTGCAGAGCCTGAGTCCCATGCAGGGGTGCAGACCCCCATCTCAGTTTAGTCTTTGGGCCACTCTTGCTGCCAAGAGAAATGGGACACTGAGCAATCATGGCATTTGTCAGAGATAATTCCCTTGCCTAGTTACCCATTGCTTATGATTCTTTGGGCATCTTGTGACTTCTAGAAGGACAAATCAGAGGAGAAAAGGTCTGATCTTCTTTCGTGGCAACAGATTTTAATTTAGATACTGTCATTCACACTTATTCCTCCTGCTTACCTTCCTAGTCCAAATTTCCAGGCCCCCAACATTCCACTGAATTCAATTAGACTGATGAAATGTTCACTTAGCTCTGTTGTGCTCAGGCACCCCCAGGTGGTAGAAGGTGGTTTACAATTAGTCCAGGAAGTGGGGGATCCCCAAAATCATGGATAGATGAGTCACCAGTTATCCACGTGAGAAATACCTGTGAACCCCTTTTTATGTACTGGGCAACTTTCTGGTCACAGTAGAGAGCTGAAAGGCCAATCATTTGATAGAATTTGTTCCTTGGGAGCTTACAGCATAGAAGAGCTGATGTGGTCATCAACGGCCAATATGTGAGGTGGAAAATGACGTAGAAAATTGAACACCCAAAGAAAGATGGAAGAGGATCTGACTGGGTCAGGAAATCAGCCTGGAAACTTGTCAGATTCCTAGAAAAAGTTGATTCAGGCTGAGCTTTGCTGGGGGCTTCAAGGATGAAAAAAGAGGAATAGTTCTAAGAGCAATGTGGGTCCCAAGGTGGTGGTCAGAGGGGCCACCCTGCTGCTGTTGGAGCCTATACATCTGTCCCAGCAGGCAGAGATCACCTCTGCCAGGAAGTCTTTGGAGATGTGGGTGGGGGATGTGTTGGTGAGAGGAGGGGTGTTAGGCATTTTAGCTCTGCCCTGCATGGTGGGCAATTTTGGACATACATTTGATTAATGCCTTATACCCTGTCTGTATAGAGACTCAGTAAATACTGAATTGAACTGACTAGACACCAAAGGCTTATTGAGAAAAAAATTAAGGAAAGAGGTCTAAGTTCAGATTAGACCATTACTTAGAATAAGAATTCAATTTGAAAATCATGGTTGTCATCAAAATATTTTATACTTAAGCATTTTTTTTTGAAATTTGCTTTTCTAAAGATTTTATTTGAATATGTTTCCTCTCATCCTTCTTTGAGTCATGCTGGATACTCCCTCTGCTATATCCATTTATTCATTTAATGCCCATAGAGGACCATGCCAACCCACATCCATCCAGACTTCCAGGCCTAAGGTTCTGGTTGAAATGACACAGAAACCATGGCAATGGCTATGGACAGTCCTGTTTCTAGAAGGTGACCTTCACACACATTCCCACAAAGGCTGCCTGTGCTTGTTTTAAATTCAGGGTTACCAATATCCTTCCATTTCAGGGACTTCAACCACAAGAGTTCTTCTATGTTATCAGGAATTGGAGGTACACCAAAATAATATCAAATATGCAAGGAACTAAAGAGATGCTAATCTCATTCCTGCATCTCCTGGTTCTCTGGCTGGGTAAAACACCCAGCATATTGTTACCTTTGCGATTAAAAAATCCACAGCATTTAAAAGGATTATACCTATGTCTTCGTAAACTAGGCTGACTGAGGTTTAAAAAAAAAACATAAAGGCAATGTTTATCTTTAAATATCAAACATTGTGCGAGTAGATTTAGTGTTCTTTCCTACCCATGAATAACATTCCAGACTGTAATTAATTTATCCATGTTCCTATCAGCACAACATTATTCTGGGACAAAAAGGGGGTGGAGAGTGACAGAGGGGGTAGGAACACTGTTATTTCTTTTGGAAAAGCTTTCTTAATTGGATTTGTGCTCTTTTCATAACAATTTGAAGGTTGTGGTTATTTGTCAACTTCAAGGGCAGCTGTAATGCCCAAACTGTGGGTCTACAGCCAACTGTGTCTCATCTTCCCTGGGTGACTTGAGGGTGTTGTGAATTAGTGCCAATGACCTCAAGACCTGGGCAGAGGCAACCTAAATGACCACATTAATGGACAGTCTTGCTATCCACCAGTCAGGCAGCATTCAGTGGCATTTTTTGGGCACAGTACACAGTAGACCCATGAAATTGATGCTACACAGTTGAGTTTGTCTAATGGAGAAAACAGTCCTTCCCCTAAATCAGGGGTTCCTAATGTGGCAGCCACGAATTGCCTAGCATATCAGGGGTCTAGAGAGCTCTTGAATTGTAGAACAAATGTTGCACATGTGTGCATTGGGGTAGGTGGGGGCAGGATGGTGGAGGAGAGCCATAAGTTTTTCTCTAATTCCCAAGAAGAATCTGAAAAAAATTAATAACCATTGCTCTAAAATGATAAACAGAACATACATGTCTGACACAGCCAAAAAGCACTTGCAACACAACTAATTAGCAAGGTCAAAGCAATTCAGTGAGGAAAGGAGTTCTCACGTATGCCAAGGGAAGAAACAGCCAGGTAAGGGGCTTTGCGGAAAATAGGTCCTGGAACAGAGTAACAAACCCTACACCTACAGAACCAGGCAAGCCGTTCAGCACAGGAGCCTGCTGAGTGTCCTTGTGGAGGAGAATGTGGAGTAGCGGGGCCTGTGGTAAACTCTGGTTTGCATTTTGTGTAGGAAACAGACAGCATCAGCATCAGTTTCTGCCAGTTGGCTACTCTGCCACAAGTGGGCATGATGTTTCTAGATCCCCTGAATTTTGTTGAAGATGAGAGCTCTCAATTTTTAAATCTTAAAAGTGAATTCAAAATTAAACAAATAGACCCTATGCTTAGAGGCTCAGAGCTGGTCAGGGTGCCCATTGTCATACCTTTGCTGGGGATCTGAGATTTGAAAAAGTCCTGGATCCCGTTCAGTGGCAGGCATCAGCCTGTGCTGTGTAAAGCTGGAAACAGAGGCTAGACCCGTGAAGAAGTGTCTAGAAGGGGGAAAGGTGAGTCATGTACAGTGAATGGAGGCACCTTGGCTGCTGGTCTAGAAGCTCTGTTAGAGGGGCAAGTAGTGGGGAATGAAGTCGGTGAGCTGGAACATCCTGCAGGGCTCCAAACAGGTTGTGGCTGGTTTCTTTTTGGAACCAGAGCAATCCTCTAGGAAGTCTTAGGAGAATGCCAGGAGGCCACACACAGCGCTTGGGAGGGATGCTTCTCATGTATAGCACTTATTCCCAGGCAAAGAGAGTCCTGGGAGGAAACTGACACAGGCTACCTGTGACCAAGCAAATCAGACAGGGAAATGTTGGTCAAAGAAGGAGGACAGAAGAGACTGGGGAGCAACAAATGGCTCTCAGAAGACATGAATGTGTTAAGCCACCCATGTGGGATGGGGATCAACCTGTGGACAGCACCGGCAGGGGCGGGTGTTGACACACCAGATGGTTGGGTGGGGTCTCTTTCAGCATTCTGTTCCCCATCACCTGTCACTGGCGGGGGCAGGATAGGGACTTCAGGACCCCTGGACCCCTTAGACTTTCTCATGGGGGGGAAATAGTATGCTTTTAGCATACAGCAACACTCCGTTTGTGCTCTGCTGCTGCTAAAGAAAGATTGTTTGCCTTTAGGGGTGTGTCTTGCTGAAGATCCAGAAGCCCCAGGGCAATGAGAGTTGTCCCTGAGGATAGTAGAAACCACAGGGTAAAGGAGTGAAAAAGCAACAAAGGGCAGGGCACAATGGCTCACGCCTGTAATCCCAAAACTTTGGGAGGCCAAGGCAGGAGGATCACTGGAGGCCAGAAGTTCAAGACCAGCCTGAGACTCCCATCCCTACAAAAAGACTTTTTAAATTAGCCAAGGCATGGTGGTGTACAACTGTAGTTCCAGCTACTCACGAGGCTGAGCGGGGAGAATGTCTTGAGCCAGGAGTTCGAGGTTGCAATGAGCAATGGTCGCACCACTGCACTCCAGCCTGGGCAGCGGAGTTAGACCTTGTCTAAGAAAAAAAAAGGCAACAAAAGAGGGGCCAAAGGGCAAGGAATGCCCCCAGGCTAACACAGGGGCATCTGGACACCAACTGAAGGGCAGCCAGAGGGAAGAGTGAAGAACTGTCCACATGACCCTTCATCCTAGATGGGTTACACTGCAGATCTGTTCTTTCTGGTAACAGGCTGAGCCTTTCTTCTTCCACTATCCTGTGAGCAGAGTTAGGAACAAAAGCAGGACATTCAACTTTCAAGTTAAGACTTGAGATTTTCCTAAGAAAGGATGAGAAGTGGCTGGAGCTTTGGCTTTGATGTCACATGCAGTGAGGTGGGAGCTCATGGAAAATGAAGATAAACCCACTGAGAGGGGCAGGGAGCCATGCTCGCAACCCATCTAGCAAAAGGACCAAGAAAAAAAGAGGAGGGAAGAAAGAGAAATAGAGACAGAAGTGACCCAAGGACTATATGGGCTATCATTCTGTTATCATCATTATTTCAAGATCAATCATACCTATAAAATGGAGAGAGGCAAGAATGAAAGAGTGAAGAGAGAAGGAAGAAGAAGAAAACAGGAAAAAAAAAAGAGGAAACCATTTCAAGTGCATCAAGGATAACAAAATACACTCTTTCTCATCTGTAATCATGTCTTTTCATTTCAAATAGAAAATAACAACTACAGCATCATCATAATAAAATAATTCATCATATGTGGGATAGAGAGGAAGAGGAGACATAAGAACAGCATCACTTACATAAGCCTTTAGTTTCTGACAGTGCTTCCATTTATACTGTCTTCACCATAACCAGCTGACAGATGGGTAGGCATTGTTCCACACTCTGATGAGAATAATGCTCCCTCCAGCTGATCTGGGCTGCTCCACACATGTTTACCTGGTCTATGAATTGTTACTAAAAGGGTTACACATCAATGTTTGGTGGGACAAACATTTTGCTTCAATCCATTATCCATTTGGAGATGTAGGCAGGAGGATCCTGCATATGTACAGCATGACCTTGAGGAGAAGAATCCAGGGAATTTTCAGATAAAGTTTATGTAATTTTCCTTAAATATTAAAGTACATAGAGTTTGATATGGTTTGGCTGTGTCCCCACCCAAATCTCATCTTGAATTGTAATCCAAATTGTAATCCCCACATGTTGCAGGAGGGACTTTGTGGGAAGTGATTGGATCATGGAGGCGGTTCTTCCATGCTGTTTTCATGATAATGAGTGAGTTCTCACGAGATCTGATGGTTTTATACGGGGCTTTTCCTTCCACTTTGCTCTGCACTTCTCTCTCCTGCTGCCATGTAAAGAAGGACATGTTTGCTTCCCCTTCGGCCATGATTGTAAGTTCCTGAGGCCTCAGCCATGCTGAACTGTGAATCAATTAAGACTTTTTCCTTTATAAATTACCCAGTTTCAGGCAGTTCTTTATAACAGTGTGAGAACAGACTAATACAGAGTTGTTGCAAAACAAAAAAGGAAGGAAAACATGAAGTAGCATAAATAAGATAATAAATCTCCAATAGGCCTACCACTAATAGACAATGTTAACATGGTGGTTGGTGTGCTTCCTTATAGATTTTGGGAATAATGCCTGGCATCTCATATTTACAATTTAAGGCCTTGAGTTTTGTGGGGTTTTTGTTTTGTTTTCTGTTTTTGTATTTTTCACGTAACATGATAATATAAAGATCTCCCCTGTTGGGTTTTTGTTTGTTTGTTTGTTTTGAGTCAGAGCTTCACTCTTGTCGCCCAGGCTGGAGTGCAGTGGCGTGACCTTGGCTCACTGCAACCTCCGCCTCCTGGGTTCAAGTGAATCTCTTGCCTCAGACTCCCAAGTAGCTGGGATTACAGGTGCCCACCACCACGCCCAGCTAAATTTTTGTGTTTTTAGTAGAGACAGGTTTCACCATGTTGGCCAGGCTGGTCTTGAACTCCTAACCTCAGGTGACCCACCCACCTTGGCCTCCCAAAGTGCTGGAATTACAGGTGTAAGCCACTGTGCCCGGCCCCATGTTGTTATAAATTATTTGTAAACATTTTAAGGACTCCACATAATATTCTACTATGTAGAATAATATCATATGTACTACAATTTAATTACCTATATTTTCTATTTTTGGATGTTTAGATTCTAGTTATTGCAAGTAAAAACACAAAGAACTTTTACATGCATAAGGATTTTTCTACAGCTCTGATCCTTTCCATAGAATAAATAGATTTCAGTCTGGGCACGCTGACTCACACCTGTAATCCCAGCACTTTGGGAGGCCGAGGCGGGTGGATCACCTGAAGTCAGGAGTTCGAGACCAGCCTGGCCAACATGGCGAAACTCCGTCTCTACTAAAAATAACAAAAAATCAGCAGGGTATGGTGGCCGGTGCCTGTAATCCCAGCAACTCGGGAGGCTGAGGCAGGAGAATCGCTTGAACCAGGGAGGTGGAGGTTGCAGTGAGCCGAGATCGTGCCATTGCACTCCAGCCGGGGCGACAGGGTGAGACTCCGTCTCAGAAAAAAAAGAAAAAAAAAAAAAGAATAAATAGATTTCACACAGTGCAATTTCATGTCATAGGCTATGAACATTTCAGGACTTTCCAACGTGGCCATGTGGGTTCATTTTGCACCCACACTGTAGGGCAATGCTGGTTCTGCCTGGTGCACAGGACACATCGGTGCACCCCTTGGAGGGCCTCCAATCACCCTCGTCCCCATGAGAACACCGAGGTCGAAGCCCAGGAAGAAGTGACCTGCCAAGGAAGACCATGGAGGCAGTGACCCTAGAGAATGTCTTCTAGTCCTAGGTCAGGAACCTGCCTCTGCGACCCGCCTGCAGAGCAGGAGCCTGGAGCCTGGACGTCATTCCCTAGAAGGTTCATGGGATTGTCTTTTGGGGACTGCCCCTTCTCCTCTTGCCTGCCAAGCTGGTGAGCAACGCTATGAAATTTGCTGGGAAGTCACCTGCATCATTGCATGGTTTGCTCTCTGGACAAGGACGGCTCGGGCTGAAAGGCCCCAAGGACGTTAGGGTGTGCTCGCCAAGGCTCGGGTGCCTCCAGCGACTGTCTGCCGCTCCGGGCCCCCTCCTGTCTGGTCCACAGCTGCACCCCCAGCTCAGGGCTGCACACCCAGTAAGTGGGTGCTTCATAAATGTTTGCCTAATAGGTGTGTGGCCACAGCTGGGGTGCGGGACGAGGCTAGAAAGAGTCGTCGGGAGCGGAGGTTGAGCGGTCTTTGGAGGATTATGTTCAGAGATATTTGAAGGCCCGCACGTCCGAGGGTGGGGTGGTTCCCAGACGGCCTTTCTCCTGGCTGCAGTGGCTTCCCCCCTGGCAACCTCAAACTCCCGCAGGAAGGTAGGTAGATCTGTCCGTTGGTCGGCTTTCTCGATCCTAATGCAAACCTTCTGCCGGCCTTGAGCCTCTCCGACAGGATCTAAAACGCTTCCCTACGCGCGTTGGTGTTGGTCTGGGGTGCAGAGTGTGGAGGACCCGGGGGGGCCGGGGCTGGTCTGGGGTGGTCCCGGGGAACCCTGGGCTGGGCCGTGCGTGTGGGCGGAGTGGGGCGGGACGCCTGGCGGCTCTGGGAGGCCCCGCCCGCCCCCATCCCTGTGCAGCGCTCAGGCCCTTAGAAGGTGCCGCCCCGGGGCGGGGCTGTCTGTGGCCTCAGCGCTCGGCAGGCGCGCACTCAGCTCCACACCCGGCTCTCTCGGCATCTCAGACCCGGGTAAGTTAGGGTCTCCCACCTCCGCGGCCCTCTTCCGGGGCGCAAGTGGCCTAGTCGGGCAACCCCGGGGGGCTCCTGGAACCTGCGTCTCCGGACGCGCAGCGGGCGCGCTTCAGGCTGGAAGCGCCGAGACCCCCAGAGTGGGAGACGGGATAGGATGATCAGCCTCTCCCCTCCTTTCCTTCTGCCATTCTCACTTACTTATACAACAAACGCATAGGAAAGCATCTCACCAACACAGAACAACGAAAACATTCCTCCATTATTAAGTTATAGACATTCTTGTATAGTATTTGGAAAACACTTACATGCAACTTTCAAAAGAAAAGAAAATCAAAACCACTCACGGGACCTGAGTCCCCACTTTTTTTCAAAGACCTTCAGCTTTTTGGGGGGACCAGCTCTTGGGCCTTGGCATCTCCCTGAGGAAAGGGCATGGGACGCGGAGAATATTACTGATATCTGATCTTGATTGTGGTAATGGGAAAAGTGGGAAACTTTAGAAGAAAGTTGACTAAGTAGCAGAGACGTGCGCATGTGCCCAATCTATTGCATAATGCTTTGCCCCCCGGATTTGTCACATTGCTCTATGTGAATTGACAGTTCATTTGAGTCCACATTTAGATTAAGAAGGAGGTTCCAGCTCCATTAAGGAAGGACCTTGTCAATAACCATAGCTGTCATGTATGGTCCAGGTGGTGGGGACTTTGCTGAGTTCACACAGTTGCTTAAATTCAGCCGTGACTCTGATTTCCAATCACCAGGAAAAATCCCTCTGCTTTCTCTGGCCAGTTTCACACAATCATCAGGTGAGCCGAGGATCCATTGGAGGAAGGCATTATCTGTATCCAGAGGAAATAGCCAAGGATATTCAGGTAGGACCTGCTTTTGATAGGTTATTGGAAAATGATTTGTTTTGAAAATAAAGCTCACTTAGAAGACATCAGAGGGACTCATTGCTGTCGTCTTAAATCTCTGAGGGTGAGACAGCTCCTGTGTGGTTTCGCTCTTTCTGGTAGTTGAAAGGAACACTTATTATTCATGCGTTCACGCATGCCTGCCTGCATTCGCTGAATGTTTATTGCACTCCTGCCATATGCCACACACTGTTCTAGTGGCCTGGGATGCAATGAAGAACAACCCATGCAAAGATCCCTGCCCGCAATAGCTTACATTTTGGTGGGAAAGACAAACGTTGAACAATCAACATCACAGTTAAGAAAACTTTATTATATTAGAAGGTGATAAGGACTCTGGGAAAGCGGGAGGAAAAAAAGGTTAAGAGTTTGTGCTCTACTATTAATAGTCACTGACTGCCAAAATTTTTTTTTAGAAATAAGGTGGGTTACACACACACACACGCGCACACACACACACATATATATATAGAGTAAATCTTAATAAACAAAATGAATAACAAAAATATGTTAATAATATAAATATAAATAAATAATATAAAATTTAATATATAAAAACATACTACATTGCAAGAGGTTTTCCTCTGATTACTCAATAATCTATTTCCAGAGCATAGTATACTTTATCAATTATTCACTCACTTTCCCATTGTAGTGGTATTGAATCTAATACTTTGCTTCCCACTTAATTCAGGAAAACCTTATTGAAACATTCTGGGTGCTGGAGTGGGGACAAAGGTGAGCAAGATGGTCTCTGTCCTTTGGGACCTCCTGGGAGAAAATGCCCAGATAAGTCTACAAATGATTAGAAGTTAGAATATGACCAGCACTGTAGGAAAGATATATACAAGGGGTCAAAGAAGGGGAGAGGATTCTGGATCAGGGTCAGACACAGTGTGGATATGAGCTGGCATTTGAAGGGCCAGTAGGATTTTAACAAGGGAATATGGTGGGAATGCCTCACCTACAGCGAGAACAGCAAACATAAAACAAGAGGCCAGGCACGGTGGCTCACGCCTGTAATCCTAGCACTTTGGGAGGCCAAGGCAGGTGGATCGCTTCAGCCCAGGCATGTTGAGCCTGGGCAACATGGTGAAACCCCGTCTCTACTAAAAATACAAAAATTAACCAGGCATAGTGGCATGCACCTGTAAACCCAACTACTTAGGAGGCTGAGGCAGGAGAATCACTTGAACCCAGGAGGCGGAGGAGGTTGTAGTAAGTCAAGATCGCGCCACTGCACTCCAGCCTGAGTGACAGAGCGAGGCTTGGTCTCTAAAATAAAATAAAATAAAGCAAGAGCTAGGAAGGCTGGGGGCTGATTCCATGCTGCACAAAGACCTGGGATATATACTCAGGGTAGATTCCATCATTCTCACTGTTCAGGTGAGGAAACTGAGGCTCCCCAGATTTATGTCATTTGCTGAAGATGAGAGTCCTTCCTTCCCTCCTGATGTGTGACTTCAGCTGTCATTCATTATCCATCCCCAAACGCCCACCCATGTTTTCATATTGAGTTTGATGGAGTCTCCTCACCAGCTCGCTGGCCTGACTCTCTGAGTATTCAGTGTTTATATTTCCATCCTTCACACCCCAGACTCTCTCTCCATCACCCATAGAGAGGTCTGGGAAGCTCCTGGTAAAAGCACCAGACTCAAGCCACACCCCACATCCCCCTGGGAGGTGGCAGGAAACACTTTCCTAATCAGAGAGGACAGTCTGATTCTGGGCCTCTGGACGGTTGCATTCTGATTCCTTGAGCGACCCTGGCCACCTTAGTACCCACTGACTCTGGGGATAGGGGAAGGATAGAAGACCAGACAAAGCCAGCCAAGTGTCGGGAAGCATCTGGTGGCCCTGGGTGGCTTCTTTTCTGCTAGGAGGGAAACATGTTTCCAAAATTTGGACATAGTGTTGTGATAAAGATGAAAACAATAGACAGTTGGTTCCAAGGACAATTGACTCAGAATTCTTGTCTCAATAAGATCATATTCACCAAAATGAGGCTTATCCATCATTGCTTTTACCCTAATTCTGCTTCTTAAACCAAATGAGGCCAAATGATGATGTTAAGACTGGATGCTCTTTCGAAGAAATGCATAAGGAGTCCTGTCGAGCGTGATAAAAAAACCCAGAGTCAACCTAGGGAAGTAAGTTAAGGAGCCCTCTAGTTTATCTAGGATTGACCTGGGGCTGGAACCCAGATTCCTGAGCTCTGACTCCGACATTCCTGTCTCCTCTACTCACCCCTAGAATCTATTCCTTTTAGAAGAAAGCTTGGAGTCAGCCACAAGAACCTTACCCAGTCACTAAAGGCTTAAGAAAGAATGATCAGGAACTGGGGGAATTTGCTAATAATAACAAAAGAATGAGAGGGGTGCACTCAGGGCAGGGGGCTTGAAGAACGGCTCCTCTGTTTACGACACACTCAACAGGGGTGTGAGGTCACAGTGATGAGAGGCCCAAACTTGTGGCCTCCCCGTGAACAAATGCCCTACACATCTCCCCTGCAGGATCAATGGGACAGGGCTCAATATTGGGAGGAAGGCTGTAGTATTTACTTGGCAAGCCTGCTGTCTACAGCCTGCCCAGTTTATGCACGGGTAGGCCACAGTTGGTCTTAGAAATAAAGGCTTTGGAAAATTAAAAAAAAGAAAGAATGAGAGTTTCCCATGCTGGGAAAGCTTCTGTTCTGAAAGCTTCCAGGCTGTTATCAGTGCTGATAGGCGACACAGCCGGAGCACGTGGGAGAAGTCAGAAGAGGTGGTGTGTGCCCAGAGCAGCGAGGCGCCACCCACTGCCCTCTTCTCCCCTGGGTTCAGCTGGGGGCCTTACGGAACTCCAGGGTGCTGGAGGCCCCGTTGGTCTCCATTTGCAGGTGTCTCGCTCAGCGCAGCTGCCCAGAGCCCTGTGTCCTGAGTGATTTCCAGTAGATTAGCAGCTCTGGGTCTAAGCTTTTAAGAAAAAAAAAAAATTGCACTACCCTTCAGTAGGGGCAGCATTCACATCTCACACCCAGGCAGAAGCAGAAACGGCCAGGAATCCACCCCACTTTCTGGGCCTGACAAGGCCACAGTTTGAGAACGTTCAGCACAGGCCAAGCATCAGATGGATTTTGAACATCTCTGGCTCCTACCATTTCTGCCTCCACCATCCCTTTACTCACTGTGCAAGCTACAAAAGCTGAGGGGACAGGAACAAGGATGATTTCTGATGGCATATTTAGGTAAGAAGCCAACCCCCATGTGCATGGATCCAATGCTATCTGATAAAAGTGGCCTATTCCTCAGCTGTTTTGAGCCTGCTTCCTCTGTACAAGGTCCTGGGAATTGCTCTTTTCTATACTAATAATATGTGAGTCAATTGCTAACAGATGACATTTTAGATATATTTTTGGTTGGTTGTTTTTGTTTCTTTTTTTTTTTTTTTAAGTTCCAGGGAACATGTGCAGGATGTGCAGGTTTGTTACAGACATAAATATGTGCCATGATGGTTTGCGGCACCTGTCAACCCATCATCTAGGTGTTAAGCCCAGCGTGCATTAGCTCTTTTCCCTAATGCTCTTCCCCACCCACCTTTCCCCGACAAGCCCCAGTGTGTGTTGTTCCCCTCCCTGTGTCCATGTGTTCTCACTGTTCAGCTCCCACTTATAAGTGAGAATATGCGGTGTTTGGTTTTCTGCTCCTGCGTTAGTTTGCTGAGGATATGTACTTCTGATAGGAGAGATTACTTTTGGCAAGCCATCTCATCTCTAAGGAGCCCCGTTTTCTGAAAATTCAGATTGTTGGATCAGTTGCTCTCCCACTCTGTTTGAGTCCAACTGTCTGAAAGTGCAGCCACGGGGCATGTGGGTGCTTTGGCATCACGTATCATAGAAATGAACCTAGAGAATCTGATATAAAATCCCAAATGACATGCAGATCCAGACTGTCATTTACACCATGCTGACTATTACGGAGACATTGCCAAACTCATTTTGAGACTCGTTACACAAAAATACCATGGCGACCCAGCCTAGCAGGCATTGGGGGTGTGGAGGACATTTAGCAAAAGCAATGCAATAAATTACATGTGAAGTTTTAAAAAAATTCTTTAAAAATATAGGGTTGTCATTTGAAAGGCAGTTAATTAGCCGGACTTAAGCTCTGACAGGAGAATTGTAATTGAAGGCACCAGCGTGTGTGAGACTGGGGACAGCTGAGGTTACACTGAAGACTGGAGAGTTTCTTTCTGCAATTTCTTTTCAGACTGTATCAGAGGCAAACAAGGCCAAAAAAGAAAATGTAAAAAACAAACAAGATTTGAAAAACAGTCAGTGAGATCATATTTCTATATTTTTGCAAAATTCTTCCAGGTACCCTGCAGCACAAAAGGCCATTGGTCATTTTCCTAGGGTCCCACACCACAGCCCAGTGGTTCTCAATCTTGGCTACAAATTAGGATCATTTGGGAGGTTTCTAAAAAGTCTCTGAGTCAGGCAGGAACCCAGACCAAAGACATTAAAATCTCTAGGGGTGAGATCCAGGAACCATTATTTTCTAAAAGCTCCCCCGGTGATTCCAATAGATCACCAAGCAGGGCCTCCAGACCAGCAGTATTAGCACCACGTGGGAATGTGTTAGGAATGCAGATTCCCAGGCCTGCTCCAGTTCTACCAAATCAGAAACTCTGAAAATAGAGCCCAGCAATCTGCATTTTTTTTTGAGACAGAGTCTCGCTGTGTCACCCAGGCAGGAGTGCAATGGCACAATCTTGGCTCACTGCAACCTCCACCTCCTGGGTTCAAGTGATTCTCCTGCCTCAGCCTCCCAAATAGCTGGGAATACAGGTGCCCGCCACCACGCCTGTCTTATTTTTGTATTTTTAGTAGAGACGGGGTTTCAGTATGTTGGCCAGGCTGGTGTCAAACTCCTGACATCAAGTGATCCACCTGCTTTGGCCTCCCAAAGTGCTGGGATTACAGGAGCAATCTGCATTTTAACAAGGTCATTCTAAAGCATTCTAAAGAACAAGGCTGAGGATGGTTTGGGCTTGGGAGGTTTTCAAAGCAGATGTTTTTGGTTGCTTCTTTGGACATAAGAAAGTCCATCTGGATCTAAGTAACAAGCCTTCTCAGTGAACTCACTATTATGAATTAATTGCAGATGTAACTCTTAATTTGCTGTATGGATTTATCAGTTTTAAACCAATTAACTTGTGGATCTTCAAATGTCGCCTGCCATAATTCTACCCTCACATGGTCATGAAGTTGGAAAGACTCTCTAACAGTGATTGGTGGCAGAATTATTTGCCAATTGTGATCATTCTGGGTTTTTGGAAATTACATCATAGTATCAGGTCCAGGTCTGTCTGTTTTCTGGGGCAGGGTTTTATGCATTCATAAGTGGTTTCGGGTCATTTAAAAAGAAATGGTTGAGCGTTGAGTTTGGATCTGTTACCAAACAATTCCTGCCTACCCCGATGGTTAGAATGGGGCTAAATGCTAGTTTTGTACAAGAACAAGGACCTGAATCTCTTGAGCCCAGGCAGCTTAACCCCTGACAGATCTCTGCACAGACTCAAAAGCCTAGAAACCAGGAAAGGCCACAAACAATCTTTGATTCTCATTCATGTCTGATCTCTCCACAACGTAGAGAAGACAGCCGCCATGGTCAGCCACAGGAAAGCCAAGCCTAAACCCCCAAAGCCCCAAATCCTTGGGCAGCAATTTCTTAATGAGGTAGAAAAACCAATAAACTCCTACCCAGGACCACTGAGTGTGCACCTGCCATGTGCCACATGCTGTCAGCCACTCTACACACCTGCTCAGGGATTCAACAGCCCGCAAATGTCAGTGGTGTTTCTCGCTACTTTGGAAAGAAAAAAAAAAAAAACTTGACTGAACAATTCTAAGGAAACTGTCCAGGATCATGTGGCCAGGAAGTAGCAAAGCTAGAATCCAAACCTGTGGCGGCAGTGGAATCCCAAAATCTGAGCTCTTTCTGCTCCTCACTCCTGCCTTCTGAGACTGTGGTTCAGGGTGGGAGATGACTGCCCTTCTGGAAAAGGGAGTCAGTTAGAGCTTCGGAGACAGCTCATTGGCATCTGTTCATTGGAGTAAGCAGGTTATAAAGAGTCAAGCCCCACTGGTCAAAAGGTATTAAGTTCTGGTGGCATCTATTCGATAAACATTCATGGGCAGCTCCTGTGTGGTTGCGTGCCCAGCACCAGGCTGGATGGCAGGGCAGGGATGGGATAAGGGGCCTGGAGATCCTGACCATGATGAGGTTAGCAGGGGTCATGGTGTGCACAGTGCTGATCCAGCCCCATGTATCAGAGCAGGCTTCGGGAAGGAGGTGAGAGCTGGGCTGAATTTTAAGCATGAGTAGGCATTGCTGAGAAGTTTCATGGGCCAAGAAGAAGGCGCAGTCTGAGCTGGAGACGCACAATGTGTAGAGGCTCTGGGGCCAGCAGGGACCATGGAGCATAGGGTCTGGGCACAGTGGCAACAGTGGAATTGGAGAGGGATGCATAGACTCTCAAATTTAGGGCCTGTATCCATGCAGAAGACCAGGAGTTTCACCCTGAAGGCAGGGAGGAGCCAAGGAAGGCCTTCAAGATGGGAACTGCCATGATGAGATTGCAGTCATCAGTGAGAGTGATGCAGATTTTGGAGTGAGTGGTGTTGCCACTCAGCTCAGTGAGGCAGGGGCCAGTCTCTGACAGGACAGGGTGGAGTGTTAACTTTAAGGAGCCTGGGGATGGCCAAAGGGAACCATCTCCTTAGCAGGTCACTGGACGCATGGCTCTGGAGCTTAAAGAGAGCCCTGGGTCATGGCCATGCAGGTGAGCCTGGAGCAGGTGCAGTCACCCTGGGAGAGAGGAGAGTAGGAAGAGAAGAGAGCAGGTAACAGAACTCTGAGACACAGCCACAGTTCAGAGATGGGTAGAGGAAGAGGGGCCTCGGAAAGGTGCCAGATGTCTTCAGCTGGTGCTGGGTTCAGGGTATGTTTTACAATTAAACCAATTCAATGAAGAAATAGCTCTGGGTCTAAGCTGGAGAGGAGCTAGGTTTCTGAGGTTATTTGTCCTACACAAGATGATGTGCAATGTCACAGTCCCCATCCTGGCTGGGAAAGACAGCGCCGTCCTGGCAAGTGTTGGAATTTGTCTTTCCATAGCGATTCTGGCCATAAACTGTCTTCCCAAATACATCCTTCACCTGTAGTTACAACAGTCCCCCCGAGGCCATGTTCTACTCCAGGCCATGTTCTACTCAGCTACTTTAAGCTCCTAAGAAGTGAGCAGGGGACAAGCAGGGTGGCTCATGCCTGTAATCCCAGCAATTTGGGGGGCCGAGGTGGGCGGATCCTGTAAGCCCAGGAGTTCAAGACCAGCCTCGGCAACATAGGGCAACCTCACCTCTGCAAAAAATACGAAAATTAGCCAGTCATGGTGGTGCATACCTATAGTCCCATCTACTCTGGAGGGTAGGGTAGGAGGATCACCTGAGTCCAGGAGGTTGAGGCTGCAGTGAGCCAAGATTGTGCCACTGTACTCCAGCCTGAGTGACAAGAGTGAGACCCTGTCTCAATAAAACAGAAAAAGAAAGAACTGAGTGGGAGCACTTACGTGTGATAAGCTCCCAGTGGCCCCCTCTGGCTTGAGTTTGGAATGTGACATCAACAACTTGGCCTCGGAGCTTTTGTTTCCCAGCAGGAACTGGGGGTAGAGGCTGGCATTTGCTCAAACCTAAATAAATAAATAAATAAATAAATAAAAACAAGACCTGTTTTTTTTCAGCTTACCAATGATCTCAAGGTCACCTAGATGGGGTTTCCACAGCAAACCAAACCCCTGACAGAATCTTACAGCTACTTGGAGACAATTTTTCCAATTCCCAGGCCCACTCTGAGTATACAGGGACAGTGATATCAAGATTAAACGATAGGGAAAATGTCACTTTCTGCATAGCCAGAGAGTAGTGAATGGAAATAAAAGGCAATCCATGTACCATTGCTCAATCAAGAGAGGGCATTGTGTAGACCCAAGACGGCACATACCATGGACTAGGGAGCATGTGAGCTCACCCCTCTCACCTGAGGTTTTAAGATTGTGTACGTGTGTGTGCCTGTGTGTGGGCAGGGAGGGAAAAACATAGCACAAGCTACAGCACTGGCCTCTTCGAGGGGAGCTCTCTGTGAAATCTCCCTAGACATTCTGAAGTCCACCACGTGACAGCATAGATTTTTCATTCAGATGAATGTAACTGTTCATAGAGAGATGCTCTGTGGTGAAACAGACCACCAATTGCACGTTGCTTCCAAGGGCAACCAGTCTGACTAGTCTTGCATAAGCCGCCAGGAACTAGTTGTATGAGATGCGTGATTTTTTTTAGGTCCATAGGAGGTCAAGGATGGGGATATTTGTCTCCCCCTTGTTTATGGAGTCAGCAGCCACAGCAGTGTCCATCTCTGGGGGAGAAGGCAGAGAAAAGAAGTGGGTGTTCACCATGGGTTGTATACAAACATTGGAAGCAAGGGAATGCACACACCCAGCACCACAAGTGAGCCACAAAAGCACAGTCATGAGGAAAAAGAAGGAGACTGAATGAGTTGGATGACCTGATACCATTTAGGTAAACCAAAATGCACACATGCGACCCCATACGCCACAATATGCAGCAATGCATATTAAAGAAGCTCATTCTGATGGTCACCTATAGGGGTGGAGATTGGAGTGGTGGATGGAAATAGAAGGGAATCAATGTATCCATTCATCTATCAAGAGAAGGCATTGCACAGACCCAAGATGGCACACGCCATGGCCTGTGGAGTGTCAGCTCACCCCTCTCACCTGAGATTTTAAAATTGTATACGTGTGTGTGCGTACGTGTGGGTTTTGGCCAATACGTACTTTTTGATTTGGGGTTGCATTTTTCCTTTAAGAGGTGTGCCTGGGAAGTTTGAGCTGCAGCAGTGGAACCTTAATGCCCAGGATGATCCTGTCTAACACCACAGCGGTGACGCCCTTTCTGACCAAGCTGTGGCAGGAGACAGTTCAGCAGGGTGGCAACATGTCGGGCCTGGCCCGCAGGTCCCCCCGCAGCGGTGACGGCAAGCTGGAGGCCCTCTACGTCCTCATGGTACTGGGATTCTTCGGCTTCTTCACCCTGGGCATCATGCTGAGCTACATCCGCTCCAAGAAGCTGGAGCACTCGAACGACCCATTCAACGTCTACATCGAGTCCAATGCCTGGCAAGAGAAGGACAAGGCCTATGTCCAGGCCCGGGTCCTGGAGAGCTACAGGTCGTGCTATGTCGTTGAAAACCATCTGGCCATAGAACAACCCAACACACACCTTCCTGAGACGAAGCCTTCCCCATGAACCCCACCACTGGCTAAAACTGGACACATCCTGCCTGGCAACCTGATTTTCTAATCACATTCCTCTCATACTCTTTATTGTGATGGATACCACTGGATTTCTTTTTGGCTGTTGTAAGGGGTGGGGGGTGGATTAATGACACTGTTTCACTGTTTCTCTAAAATCACGTTCTTTTGTGATAGACTGTCAGTGGTTCCCCCATATCTGTCCCTGCCTTGCTAAATTTAGCAGAATCCCTGAGGACATGGCCTCTGAGAATAGCAGCTGCATTTCCCAGACTCCCTTGCAGCTAGCAAGGTTGTGTGACTAAGCCCTGGCCAGTAGGCATGGAAGTGAAGACTGTAATGTCCAAGTAATCCTTGGAAAGAAAAGAACGTGCCCTTAACTAACTTTGTCCTGCTTCCCAGTGGCTGGATGTGGAGGAGGTGGAGAGCAGTTATGAGACTGGGAAAGAATGGGGCACTCAAAGAGCCACACACATCTGGGCCTGGGCGACGTGGATCCTCCTTACCACCCACCAGGCCAGATTTACAGGAGAGAGAAATCCACTCCACTCTTCCTTAAGCCACTGTTATTCTGATCTCTGTTAAGGTCGCAGAATCAATGCCCTTACTGATACACCTACCTTATAGGACTGAACCTAAAGGCATGACATTTCCATACTTGTCACAAGCACACACTGATTCTGCCCTTGTCACTTCTGTGCTCACTCTTGTGGCTCTATCCTCCTCCTGCCCTTCCGCCTTCCACTCCTCCCTTGCACCCATCCTGCACACATCTCCCTGAAAACACACAGGCACATACACTCATATACATAGACACACATACACACCTCAATCTAGAAAGAACTTGCTTTGTACAGGGCTGAGATGGAGGAGAAAAAAATGCCCCCTTCAGAATGCATACCAAGGGGAAGGTGCTCGGTCACTGTGGGAGCAGGGAAAGGTGCCCCCACTCCCCGAGAGCCAGGGGAAGGAGTGGCTCTGGGCAGAGAGGGACACATAGCACTGGGGTGGCAGGTCCTTTTGAGGTGATGGGCCGGTTTTGTGAGATGAATTGTATCCCCCAAAAAGACAGGTACCTTCAATGTGACCTAATTGGGAAATAGAGTCTTTGCAGATGATCTAGTTGAGATGAGGTCATTGGGGTGGGCCCTCACCCAATATGACTGGAGTCCTTATCGGAAGAGGGAAATTCAGACACAGATGCATAGGGAGGGCACCATGCCGTGACAGAGGCAGAGGGTGCAGTGACACAGCCACAAACCAAGGAAGGCCGAGGATGGATGCGCATCCCCATCCCAAGAAGTCGGGAAGAAGCCAGGAAGGCTCCTCTCCCACAGGTTTCAGAGGAAGCACAGCCCTGCTTGAATTCAAACTTTTGGCCTCCAGAACTGTGAGTCAGTACCTGTTGTTGAAGCCACCCAGCTTAGGATACTCTGGCAGCCTACTGCCATACAGTATTGGGATACTATAGTGAGCCCATGCAGCACCTCTCACCCACCCAGAGATGGAGCTGCTCTGCCTTCCAGCGGGGCACCCGGAGGGGCTGCCCCAGCAGATAGAGAGGGCCTCCGTTCTGCCACCTGCCTTGAAAGGGTCTCCAGCTGCCATATGTAGCATTGGAGTCCTCTGCAATGCGACATCCTGAAAGCTCAGCTGCCTGGGCATTCCTGAAGAGTATGGAATATTTAAATGAAACATATTTTTTTAAAACCTGCGCATAAGATAAAAGCAGCCCGTGTGCATCTTGGGCCATCCTCAAATGGACAGACTTGGTCTTGTGAGGTTCCAGTCCTTGTTTCACATAATAAACACTGGCATGGCTCAGCCCCTGAGTTACCACAGTCCTTGAGATGAGTGGTTCTTTGGGTTACAAAGTCCTCTGAAAGTCTAGTGAGAGCTGTGATCTTTGCCCCACCCGAATAATGCATATGGACACCACACCTTGCCTGCCGTGTCCAGGATTCATGACCAGTAGCAGCCCAGCTATGCCTGCCACGTCTCACGGCCCCTGTGTAAGCCAGACCCTTCTTAGGCAGTTGCATATTCCCAGACTGAGGCAGGGCAGGTTTGCAGAGAGAGACCCAGAGTGCACGTGACCCGCAGTGTGATCCCTGGCACGCACTGACTTTGATATTCCAGGCACACGGACTGGCTATTTATCACCACTTCTTTTTCCCCACTAAGATTCCTGTGCCTTTTAAGGCAGAGGGAGATCCCTATGGCGTTAGTCTTCCCAGGCCTTAAAGGGCCCTTGTCTTCACTCACAAACCTCTTATCTCTTCTTCTCCTTCCTCTACATTTTAAAGGGGGAGAGGGAAAAGTAACCGGGAGACAAATTGAGCCACATATTTTCAGACACTTGTTACCATATTTTAAAATCTGGCTTCACATACACAGAGTCTTTGCTATGCACCATGTACTGTTCTAAGCTTCTTAAAAATAGAATCTCAATTATTATTTTGCAGGCAATACTCTGTGCATTCATTAGCTAGGACAACAATGCATTTGCAGTAGTGAGATTTCGTTAAAAAATTAAAGCCATTTACTATGATCTGTGATGTGTGTTCTTAATATCACTATGATACTTCTAGAAGATGGTTATCAGTTCTTACAATGCTTTGATGAGGCAGCCCCACGGACTTGGGAATAAGGAAAGTAAGATTGCATGTGGATAATTAAACTCTGCCATCAACACACAGCGTGTCAGAACAGAGAGATGTGGGTCCCTCTGATGTCTGCAGATAGAAAGCAAGTGAAGCCCTAGGTGGAGACAATGGCGAACAGTGGCACCTCCTGCCTTGTAAAGGGGAGGCTGCTGTCAACTCCTCGCATTTGCAGCCAGCAGCGAATATGGGCACAGTCTAGACGGAGCAGGGAATGTGGACACCATCTAGACAGAGCAGGGAGTATGGGCACCGTCTGGATGGAGCAGGGAATGTGGGCACTGTCTAGACAGAGCAGGGAATGTGAGCACCGTCCAGACAGAGCAGGGAATGTGGGCACCGTCCGGACGGAGCAGGGAATGTGGGCACTGTCTAGACAGAGGAGGGAATGTGGGCACCGTCCAGATGGAGCAGGGAATGTGGGCACCATCTGGACAGAGCAGGGAATGTGGGCACCGTCCGGACGGAGCAGGGAATGTGGGCACCGTCCGGACGGAGCAGGGAATGTGGGCACCGTCCGGATGGAGCAGGGAATGTGGGCACCGTCCGGACGGAGCAGGGAATGTGGGCACCATCTAGACAGAGCAGGGAATGTGGGCACTGTCTGGACGGAGCAGGGAATGTGGGCACCATCTAGACACAGCAGGGAATGTGGGCACTGTCTGGACGGAGCAGGAAATGTGGGCACCGTCCAGACACAGCAGGGAATGTGGGCACCTTCCGGACGGAGGAGGGAATGTGGGCACTGTCCGGACAGATCAGGGAATGTGGGCACCGTCCAGACAGAGCAGGGAATGTGGGCACCGTCTGGACAGAGCAGGGAATGTGGGCACCATCCAGATGGAGCAGGGAATGTAGGCACTGTCTGGACAGATCAGGGTATGTCGGCACCATCTAGACAGAGCAGGGAATGTGGGCACCATCTAGACAGAGCAGGGAATGCGGGCACCATCGGATGAACTTCTAGGTATTGTTGGAGAAGCTGTGAACTCTTCTAATGTTTGCACATTGGCAACTAATTTACTTTTTAAAACTTGAGTGGGTCAAACGAAATATAACCCTGAGCTGGATTCTTCCCAGAGACCACTGATTAACTGCCTGTGCTTTACAGAAAAAGAATAGCTCCCAGGCAGGCCCATGCCACACCTGACAGAAGCATAAACAGACTCAGGGCTAGGGTGTGGTGGCTCACGCCTGTAATCCCAACACTTTGGGAGGCCTAGGCGGGTGGATCACCTGAGGTCAGGAGTTTGAGACCAGCCTGGCCAACATGGCGAAACCCCATTTCTACTAAAAGTACAAAAATTAGCTGGGTGTGGTGGTGGGTGCCTGTAATCCCAGCCACTTGGGAGCCTGAAGTGGGAGAATCGCTTGAACCCGGGAGGTGGAGGTTGCAGTGAGCCAAGAGTGTGCCACTGCACTCCAGCCTGGGCAACAGAGCAAGACTCCATTTCAAAAAAAAATAGAAAGAAGGAAAAAGAAAAAGAAAGAAAAGAAAGAAAGAAGAAAGAAGAAAGGAAGGAAGGAAGGAAGGAAAAGAGGAAAAGAAAGAAAAAAGAAAAGAAGAGAAGAGAAGAGAAAAGAAAAGAAAAGGAAAGAAAAGAGGAACTCTGCCCAGCCATGTTGGCAGGAACAGGCATGTCCTCGAGTGTGGTCCTGGGGCCAAGGGACCCAGAGGTCCCAGCCTCATGATGAAAGGCTGCATCAGGCTGTCCTCACCTGACACTGTGAGAACATCCCATTAATCTGATCCTCTCATTTAGATTCTGGATTCCATAATCTTTGCATCTCCAGGCCAGGCTGTGTGAGCACAGAATAATACATGTGGCTGTCTTGAGAGCGTGCCCTATCTAAAATCCACATCAGTGTATGACTTCTCTATGGGCGCAAATGAGATGTAAACACTAGATCAGGTGAGGAGAGATAAGTAAAGGATACCAGTGCTTGAAGACAAAAGAAATGGACATAAAGCTATGAATGGGTAGATAGGGGCTGGTACTTTTTTTTTTTTTTTTTGAGATAGGGTCTGGCTCTCTCACCCAGGCTGGAGTACAGTGGTGCAATCATAGCTCACTGCAGCCTCGCCCTCCCAGACTCAAGCCAGACTCCCACCCTCCCAGACTCAAGCTATCCTCCCACCTTGGCCTCCTGAGTAGCTGGGACTATAGACTCAAACCACCATGCCCAGGTAATTTTTTCTGGGGTCGGGATGGAGGGCTGAGTTTCACTCTGTTGCCCAGGCTGGAGTGCAGTGGTGTAATCTCGGCTCGCTGCAACCTCTGCCTCCCAGATTCAACCAATTCTGCTGTCTCAGCCTCCCGAGTAGCTGGGATTACAGGTGCCCACCGCCACACCCAGCTAATTTTTGTATTTTTAGTAGAAACGGGGTTTCACCATGCTGACCAGGCTGGTCTCGAACTCCTGTCCTCAGGTGATCCACCTGCCTTGGCCTCCCAAAGTTCTGGGATGACAGGCCTGAGCCACCATGAGTGGCGCCCAGCTAATTTTTAAATTTTTTGTAGAGATGGGGTCTCACTATGTTGCCCAGGCTGGTCTCCAATGTCTGGGCTCCAACGATCCTCTCACCTTGGCATCCCAAAGTGCTGGGGTTACAGGCATGAGCCACTGCACCCAGCTTCTGGTAAAGTCTTTGAGTAAACAGAATAATTGCATAAATAAAACAAATCTTAATACAAAAAATGAGTCAGGAGATTTAAAGCAATTGGCTCCTCAAGCACATTGGTCTGTCTATTTACCTGAGGTCAGTAAAGCAGTAGCCAAGTTATCACAGATATTCCCCCAAAATACTGGAATTTGTTGATCTGCAGGTGCAGTGGAAGGCAGTCTGGGTGCTGCTGCCCCCTGGTGGTCACTTTGAGGATATTGCTCAATGCACAGGGAACCCTGAGGACCGGGCAGCCAGGCAGGTGCCTGCTGGGGCTGGGTAAGGGGCTCTGAGTGCCTTTAGATGCCCCTGGGAGGCTACACTTCTATTCAGCCATCAAGTTCAGGGAGACGGGGCCCATCGTGGGCACGACTATGAAATGGGAGGATGGATGCTGAGAAAGAGAAGCATTCTTCTAGAAGTTCCTTGCAAGGTAGCTCCTCTGAACAAAGGCCCTGGAGTCACAGCTCTAAATCCCTGAGAAGTTGCTAGGACCCCCTTCTCACTTCCTTTGGGCAGGAACCTGTTTAGCTCCCTCCCCTATCCCAGGAATATTCAGCACCTGGAAAATAATCTCTCCCCCAGACCTAAGTCCCTTTTGGTTTCAGGCCTGTGATCACTCATGCTATGCATGGAGAAGAGATTCCACCTCCTAGGTATCCCTAGACTCAGATCTTTTTATCACCTTCTATTCACCCCATTCGTGAGGGAAGGAGTCCCACTCTAGGGCTGGACACACAACACCCAACACTGGATAGGTGAGACCCACGGCAATTTTCTAGTCACATATACTCGTAGCCCAGGGGAAGGGCCACTGCAGGCTATGCAGGGCCACATGAGGTGGTGCTCAAGAGCAGAGTGAACAGCAGGGTTGTTGGACAGCAGGTTTGGTAGTAACAAGAGTGATATGGTTTGGCCGTGACCCCTTCCACATCTCATCTTGAATTGTAATTCCCATAATCCCCACATGTCGTGGGAGGGACCCAGTGGGAGGTGATTGAATCATGTGGGGGTTACCTCCATGCTGTTCTCATGACAGTGAGTGAATTCTCATGAGATCTGATGGATTTATAAGGGACTTTTCCCCCTTTTGCTCAGCACTTCTCCTTCCTGCTGCCACGTGAAGGAGGACATGTTTGCCTCCCCTTCTACCATGATTGTAGGTTTTCTGAGGCCTCCCAAGCCATGTGGAACTGTGAGTCAATTAAACTTCTTTTCTTTATAAATTACCCAGTCTTGGGTATCTTTATTAGCTGCCTGAGAACAGGCTAATACAGAGGGTGGAGTGGCCCCTGGTTTCTTCATGAGGTTGTTAAATAATTCCGCAGACTGGCAGGGAACTGAAGCCTGCTACTTGGCAACAAACAGGGGTGGTACCTGGTCCCTGGGATGAGAAGGGTTGCCCAGCTGGGAGACCCTATTTATGGGAGCAGAGGTGGGACAGGAGCTTGCATTTAGGCCACTTGAGGCCCTTCACATTTTACCACATGTCAAGGCAGCACGTAACATTGGCCTTGATTTTATGCTTTATGCCGCTGCTAGAGATGGCTGGGCAGGTGCTGCACTGAGTCCAGCACTGGGCCTTAGGGGATGAGCAGGGGGTGAAACCCAGCCCCACTTCCCTAGCTGAGCCAGGGGCCCTGGAGTGGGGCAGTGGCTGCCTGGTAGGAGGAGTGCCTCTCCAGTTTGCTGGAAGGACACCATCTGGGCTCTTGGGCCTCTGCAGCCGGCTTGAACTCCCACATCCTTTCCTCCTCCAGCACCTGCCTCTGAAGGTGGATGAGGTCACCATTGCAGCCTCCCCAGGAGTAGGGAGAAAGGGACAATGAGAGGAATCAGTGGAGAAATTCCACACCTTCCGATGGCCTCGCACATCACGAAAGGGGGTGAGAACAAGGCAGCAGGAGCAGGAGGGCCTCCATCTTGGATGGGATTAAAAATCTAAGCTGCTTTTCTTCCGAGGCTCAGCGAATTAGGGTAGTAAGGTGAGTGTCCCAGTTCCTGTCTTGTCATAGAGAGGAGGAATGAGAGAAGTTGCTGCTTGTCTCAGGCTTCCACAGAATGGAAGGCCAGGTCCCTGTCACGGCCCCGTCATGCCCCGGCCTGCTCATCCACTCCTCTGTCCCCACGTGGTGTCTCTCCCCTCACGCCAGACAATCCTCAGACACAAGCCCCCTCATGCAGTTTCACAGCAAGGAGATGGGCAGGTCCACTTCCAGTGGGTCAGGAAGGCTCCCCCAGCACCCGCGAAGGCAGGACTCGGGGTCACTTGGCAATGAAAGGCCTGAGTTAATGTGAGGAATGGAGAATCCACAAGCTTTGAGGGAAAACTGGGAGATGCAGAGAGAGGAACCCAGGCTTCAAGAGGACTTTCAAAACACAGCTTTTCTAGGAAAATTAAGTGGGTGATTATCTTATTTCCTGTGGCTGCCATAACCAATGACCACAAAAATCAGTGGCTTCAAACAACAGAAATGTAATCTCTCATGGTTCTGGAGGCTGGAAGTCCAAAATTAAGGTACCAGCAGGGCCAGGCTTCCTCGTAGGCTCCATGCCTTCTGAGGATCCTTCCTGCCTCTCTCAACTGCAGGTGGCCGCTTGCATCCCTTGGCTTGTGGCTGCATCACTGTCTCCTCCACCTCCATCTTCACGTGGCCTTCTCTCCTGTGTGTCTGTATGCCCTTTCATGTCTCTTATAAAACATTTATCCAATTTTACCATAAGCTAATTAATATAAACAAGAGTTAAGTTCCTATGGCCTGTTTCTGGTCACAAAACATCACCAAACTTACAAAGACCTCAAACACTTCTAATACTAAACATTGAAATAAATGTGAGCCATACATACATTTAGGAAAGATTAATACAAACAAGTGAAAGCTGAGCACGGTGGCTCACGCCTGTAATCCCAGCACTTTGGGAGGCTGAGGCAGGCAGATCACCTGAGGTCAAGAGTTCAAGACCAGCCTGGCCAACGTGGCAAAATCCTGATTCTACTAAAAATACAAAAATTAGCTGGGCATGGTGGCGCATGCCTGTAGTCCCAGCTACTCAGTAGGCTGAGACACAGGAATCACTTGAACCCTGGAGGTGGAGGTTGCAGTGAGCCGAGTTAGTGCCACTGCACTTTAGCCTGGGCAACAGAGTGAGACTCTGTCACAAAAACAAACAAACAACAACAACAACAAAAAACAAGCGAGAATATTATTGACTGGCTTATTCCACTTCAGAGCTGTGGATGGCAGAGCCCATCCCAGAGGCACAGGGTCAAGGCAGACACCAACCCTGGACAGGGTCCTCTTCCATCATAGGGCACACTCACCCACTTCCACACTCGCTCACACTGGGACCATGTAGACATGCCAGTTCACCTACCGTGCATAGCTTTGGGATGTGGGAGGAAACTGGAGGACCCAGAGGAAACCCACACAGACATGGGGAGAACGCACACCCTCCACAGAGACAGTGGCCTGGCTAGGAATTGACTTTTTTTTCTCATCAACTTTATAGCAAAATGATGTTGAATGAGATAGTGTCATCCAAGGACCTGCTGTATAATGACATGTATCCACCATCGTAGTAATATACAGAGCATTTTCGCTGCCCTTAAAGTCCTCTATGCTCTACCTGGTTATCTTCCCCCCACCCGTCTCAACTGCTGGCAACCACTGATGTTTTCACCATAGTTTTGCCTTTTTCAGAATGTCACATAGTTAGAGTCATACAGTATGTAGCTTTTCATAAGGGCTTCTTTCACTCAGTCATATGCATTTCAGTTTCCTCCATGTCTTTTCATGTCTTGATAGCTCATTTCTTTTTAGCACTGAATAATATTCTACTGTGTGGATACACCACAGTTTATTTATCCATTCACCTACTGATGGACATCTTGTTTGCTTCCAAGTTTGGGCAATAATAAATAAAGCTTGCTATGAGCATCTGTGTGCAAGTTTTTGTGTGGTTACAAGTTTTCAACTCCTTTGGGTAGATACCTAGGAATACAGTTTCTGGATCGTATGGTAAGAGTACACGCCGTTTTGTAAAGAGCTGCCAAACTGTGTTCCAAACTGGCTGCACTATTTTGCATTACCATCAGCAATGAATGCGGATAAAAAACGCCACATCCTTACCAGCATTTGGTGTTGTCAGTGTTCTGGGTTTTGGCCATTCCAATAGGTGTGTAGCCCACTGTATTCATCAGGGTTCTCTAGAGGGACAGAACTAATGGAATGAATATATGTATATGTATATATATAGTATATGTATATATATGTGTATATATGTATTTATGTATATGTGTATATATGTATATATGTATACGTGTATATATGTATATATGTATATGTGTATATATATGTGTATATATGTATATGTGTATATATATGTATGTGTATATATGTATATATGTATATACATATATTCCAGTATATGTGTGTATACACACACACACACACACACATATATATACACACACACACACATAATATAAACAGGAGTTTATTAAGTATTAACTCACACAATCATAAGGTCCCACAATAGGCTGTCTGCAAGCTGAGAAGCCAGAAGAACCTCCTGAGTAGCTGGGATTACTGGCATGCACCACCATGCCCCACCATGCCCAGCTAATTTTTGTATTTTTGGTAGAGACGGGGTTTTGCCATGTTGGCCAGACTGATCTTGAACTCCTGACCTCAAGTGATCCCCCAGCCTCGAGCCACCATGCCCAGCCAGCTGGTCTGTTTCTTAATGTTAAAGTCTTTGACTATTAAAAAATTGGACAGCTTATTGTATGTGTTACAAATGTTTCCCCCATTATCATTGATCTCTTGACTTTTTGATAGCATTTTTTGCCATAAAGAAATGTCTAACTTTGTGTAGTTGGATTTATCAGTCTTTTTTTAATGATTTCTGACTTTTGTGCCACACTTGGAAAGATTGCCACCGTCTGGGATTATAAAAATAAATCTCTCATGTTTGCTCTAGTTCTTTCATGGCTTTATTTAAACATATATAGATATATAAAATCTTAGCCCCATCTGGAATGTATTTTGGTGTGTGTAGAGCTCCAGTTTTACTCTTTCCCAGTCTACTCAATCGTCCCATTCATTTCTGAGATAACTAATCTTTTCTCCATTGATTTGAAATGTCCCCTTTATTTTATACTGTTTTCCTGAATGTTTTCAGTCTATTTCTGGATTTTATTCTGTTCCACTGATCTATCTGCCTGTTTATTTATTTATTTGTTTGTTTGTTTATTTTAATTTTGAGATAGAGTCTTGCTCTGTCGCCCAGGATGGAGTGCAGTGGTGCAATCTCGGCTTACTGCAACCTCTGCTTCCCAGGGTCCAGCAATTCTCCTGCCTCGGCCTGCCAAGTAGCTGGGACTACAGGTGCGTGCCACCATGCCTGGCTAATTTTTGTATTTTTAGTACAGACGAGGTTTCACCATGTTGGCCAGGCTGGTCTCGAACTCCTGACCTCGGGTGATCCACCAGCCTCGGCCTCACAAAGTGCTGGGATTACAGGCATGAGTCACCATGCCCAGCCCCTTGTCTGCTTGTTTATATGCTAGGATCAAACACTTTTAATTTCTGTGGCTTTCCAAAATGTTTTAACATCTTTTGGTGATATTTTCTTTCATTACTTTTTCCCTGGAATTTCCTTGGCTATTTTTGCATATTCGATTTTCCATAAAAATATTAGCATCAACTTGTCTCTGTTAATTTCGATGAGGCAAAACCCTCAAGCTCTTTGTTTAAATAAGAAATCTAACATATTTGTTTATCCCCTGCCTCCTGTGAGAGAAGAGAGAAACCAAAGAAAGTTCGCAAAGGCTTATACCTTTGAGGAAACAGAGGTATCAATTTAAATATCTCTGCCAGAGCCAATCAGTCTGAATTTTAGCCTTTGGGGAAGTTAGGGTTGCTTTTCTTGGGCAGAGCATCAGCCTCTGAAATCCAGGGGATTTACTTCCTCCTTTGTTAAAATGACATAGGCAAGGATAGGTGTTTGTTTGTTTGTTTGTTTTGAGATAGAGTCTCACTCTTTTCACCCAGGCTGGAGTGCAGTGGCACTATCTCAGCTCACTGCAACCTCCACGTCCCAGGTTCAAGCAATTCTCCTGCCTCAGCCTCCCAAGTAGGTGGGATTACAGGTGTGCGCCACCACCCAACTAATTTTTGTATTTTTAGTAGAGACGGGGTTTCACCTTGTTGGCCAGGCTGGCCTCGAACTCCTGACCTCAGGTGACCTGCCTGCCTTGGCCTCCCAAGTTGCTGAGATTACAGACGTGAGCCACTGCGCCTAGCCAAGAATAGGCGTTTATCACGCAGGATGCTATCTGCCACTCTCTGCAGCTGCAGGAAAAAAAAAGAACATTTTTTTCCTTTTAATTTTGCTGCAACTTTGCTGTGATTTTTCAAGCCTTAAAGCTGGAACTTTATTCATTGGTGCCGAGAGAAAGAAAGGCAGGTCTGAAAAGCACAAAATATGTCATTAGAAAGGAAAAGGGAAGAAGAAAATCACTAAATGGAATATTTGGCATTCAGTGTAGTCTGGAAAACAAAACAAAAACAGCACAACAACAACAAAACAAGGGAAATTTCCATTGGAATTATACTAAATTTATAGATTAATTCAGGAAGGATTGTCATCTTTATGCAGATGAGTCTTTCTACCCAAGACTAGGAAATATACTTGCATGTAGTCAAATCTTCCGTTTTGTCCCTCTGTTGTTTAGATTTTCTTTGTGTAAATTTTGTGCAACTCTTGGGTGTTCTATCTTTGGGGTTTCCTATTGTAAATGGAATCTTCTATTCAATTATATCTCAAAGATATTGTTGTTAATATAGATTCTTGGATATTGTTTTGTAAAAACATTTATTTTGTGCCCCCTGAGCTTCCTGAATTATCCTGCTCTTTCTAATGGTTTTGCAATTGATTCTCTTATTTTTTCCAATCATACAGTCAATGATTGTTTTTGCCACCTTCTTTCTAGTTTTTGTACCTCTTCCCCACTCTTGTCTAACTGAATTGGTAATTCCCCAGTGCAATACTAAATGGTGGTGGTGATAATGGGTAATTGGGTCTTATTTCTGACTAAACTGGGGTGCTTCTGTTATTTCAGCATTGAATATACATCTAATTGCTAACTTGAGATAATCACAGAGTGGATTTCCTAATATTGAACAACTCCTTCCACAAATCTTTTAATGCAGTGTTAGATCTATCAGCTAATATTGTATTTAGAATATTTACATCTATATCCATAAGTGGAGTTGGTCTGTGTTTTTCTTTTATTGTGGTTATTTGATTCTATAGTTATTGTTATGGAATCATTGACATGCAAGCTTCACAGGAATAATTTGGAAGGTTTTCTCCTTTCTCCATGCTCTCTAGAACAGTTTAAAAACATTAGTGTTTGCCAATGGCCATACTGCCCAAGGTAATTTATAGATTCAGTGGCATCCCCATCAAGCTACCAATGACTTTCTTCACAGAATTGGAAAAAACTACTTTAACGTCCATATGGAACCAAAAAAGAGCCCGCATTGCCAAGACAATTCTAAGCCAAAAGAACAAAGCTGGAGGCATCATGCTACCTGACTTCAAACTATACTACAAGGCTACAGTAACCAAAACAGCATGGTACTGGTACGAAAACAGAGACAGAACAGAACCAATGGAACAGAACAGAGCCCTTGGAAGTAATACCACACATCTACAACCACCTGATCTTTGACAAACCTGACAAAAACAAGAAATGGGGAAAGGATTCCCTATTTAATAAATGGTGTTGGGAAAACTGGCTAGCCATATGTAAAAAGCTGAAATTGGATCCCTTCTTTACACCTTATACAAAAATTAATTCAAGACGGATTAAAGACTTAAATGTCCGACCTAAAACCTAGAAGAAAACCTAGGCAATACCATTCAGGACATAGGCATGGGCAAGGACTTCACGTCTAAAACACCAAAAGCAATGGCAGCAAAAGCCAAAATTGACAAATGGGATCTAATTAAACTAAAGAGCTTCTGCACAGCAAAAGAAACTACCATCAGAGTGAACAGGCAACCTACAGAATGGGTGAAAATTTTTGCAATCTACCCACCTGACAAAGGGCTAATATCCAGAATCTACAAAGAACTTAAACAAATTTACAAGAAAAAAATCAAACAACCCCATCAAAAAGTGGGCAAAGGATATGAACAGACACTTTTCAAAAGAAGACATTTTTGCAGCCAACAGACACATGAAAAAACGCTCATCATCAATGGCCATCAGAGAAATGCAAATCAAAACCACAATGAGATACCATTTCACACCAGTTAGAAGGGCGATCATTAAAAGTCAGGAAACAACAGATGTTGGAGAGGATGTGGAGAAATAGGAACACTTTTACACTGTTGGTGGGACTGTAAAGTAGTTCAACCATTGTGGAAGACAGTGTGGCAATTCCTCAAGGATCTAGAACTAGAAATACCATTTGACCCAGCCGTCCCATTACAGGGTATATACCCAAAGGATTATAAATCATGCTGTTACAAAGACACATGCACATGTATGTTTATTGCGGCACTATTAACAATAGCAAAGACTTGGAACCAACCCAAATGTCCAGCAATGATAGACTGGATTAAGAAAATGTGGCACATATACACCGTGGAATACTAAGCAGCCATAAAAAAGGATGAGTTCATGTCCTTTGTAGGGATATGGATGCAGCTGGAAACCATCATTCTGAGCAAACTATTGAAAGGACAGAAGACCAAACACCGCATGTTCTCACTCATAGGTGGGAATTGAACAATGAGAACACTTGAACACAGAGTGGGGAACATCACACACTGGGGCCTGTCGTGGGGAGAGGGGAGGGGGAAGGGATAGCATTAGGAGATATACCTAATGTAAATGACGAGTTAATGGGTGCAGTACACCAACATGGCACACGTATACATATGTAACAAAACTGCACGTTGTACACATGTACCCTAGAACTTAAAGTATAATTAAAAATAAAAATTAAAAAAAATTAGCGTTTGCCAATCAATAAAGTTTTAATAGGATGCACTTGCAAAGCTGTTGGAACCAGATGCTTCTCTGGGTAAATGACTTTTTATCAAGGTTTTTACCATCTCTGTGATAAACGATATTTTCTGATTTTTAAAATCTCTTTGGTGGTCAGTTTTGGTAATTTATATTTTCCTAGAAAATCATCCATTTGGTCAAGATTTTGAATCTATTTGCAGAGGGATTGAGGAGTCACTCATTTGATATCCTCTGTGTCTACAATTATTTCATTCACAATTCTTATTTTGTATATTTGTTCTTTCTCCTTTGTTTCTTTATTAGGATAGTTAATGATTTTTTCATTTCTTTCTTTCTTTTTCTTCAAGGAACCAACCGCTAGATGTATTATAGATGTTTTTTTTTTCATTATTTTTGCTCTCATCTTTTCCAATTGCTTTTTTTCCCCCCTGCTTTCTTTGGGTTTATTTTGTTATTCATTTCTTAATATCATTAGGTGCTTAATTTCAAATTTTAAAGCAGCGTTACTTGGATGAAATGTACATACCATTGTAAGGGTATAGTCTGATAATTTTTTGTTAATTTATACAGTTGTGAACCATTACCACAATCCAGCATAAGAACATTTCCATCAGCCCAGAAAGCAACCTCCTGCCTGCTTGTATCAACCCTTGCCTCCGTCTCTAGCCCCTGGCAGTCACTGATCTGCTGTCTCTACAGTTTTGCTTTCTCTAGAAATGTCAAATAAATACAGTCCTACACCTTGTGGTCTTCTGTGTCTGGTTTCTTTCACTCAGAATAATGTTTCTAAGGTTCATGAAGGTTTATTGTTGAATTATTTGTAAGAATGTTGGTTTTCCATTCATAGTTAATGGACATTTGGATTCCTTCCAATTTGGTGTTATTACAAATAGGGCTGATATGAACATTATGCACAAGTCCCCTTGTGTGGACATGTATTTTTATTTTTCTTGGGTAGATACCTAGGAGTGGAATTGTTGGGTCATATAATAAGTTTAAATTTTTAAGAAAATGCCAAACTGTTTTCCAGAATAGCTGTATCATTTAACATTGCCACTGGCAAGGTATGAGAGTTTCTGTTTTTCCACATCCTTACCAGCACTCAGTATTGTCCATTTTTTTAAAATTATAGCCATTCTGGCAGGTGTGTAGTGATATATTATGGTGGTTTTAGTTCGTATTTCCTTAATGACTAAATGATGTTGAGCATCTTTTCATGTGCTGATTAGCCATTTGTATTTTTTCCTTGGTGAAACATCTGTTCAAATATTTTTCCTACATTTTACTGGGTTGTTTGTCCTCTTTTATTAAATTGTAAGACTATTTCATATATTCTGAATGAAAGTCCTTTATCAAATATATAACTTGCAATTATCATCTCCCCATCTGTGTGGCCTGTATTTTCTTTCTTTTTTTTTTTTTTTTTTTTTGAGACAGAGTCTTGCTCTGTCACCCAGGCTGGAGTTCAGTGGCGCAATCTCGGCTCACTGCAAGCTCTTCCTCCCGGGTTCACGCCATTCTCCTGCCTCAGCCTCCCGAGTAGCTGGGACTACAGGTGCCCACCACCATGCCTGGTTAATTTTTTTGTATTTTTTTAGTAGAAACGAGGTTTCACCGTGTTAGCCAGGATGGTCTCGATCTCCTGACCTCATGATCCACCCGCCTCGGCCTCCCAAAGTGCTGGGATTACGGACGTGAGTCACTGCGCCCAGCCTGCCTCCCAGGTTCAAGCGATTCTCCTGCCTCAGCCTCCTGAGTAGCTGGGATTACAGTGCACGCCACCACACTCAGCTAATTTTTTGTATTTTTAGTAGAGACAGGTTTCACCATGTTGGTCAGGCTGATCGCGAACTCCTGACCTCGAGATCTGCCTGCCTCGGCCTCCCGAAGTGCTGGGACCACAGGCCTGAGCCACCACGTCTGGCCTATTTGTTCTTTTATGCACCGAACAGTAAATTCAAATTACCTACCTCTAAACTGTTTCTTCATTTTTTTCTTACTCTCTATAAATTTTTCTTTATGAGTTTTGATGCTGGTTTATCTTCTGCATAGATAGTCATGATGTTAGCTGACCAGTGTGGATTATGAAGTATCTCCCTTTATCTTATTTAAATGCTCCCTGCATTGAATTCAACATAAATGATATTAATAGGGAGATTTCTTTTTTATGTTCGTATTTGCTTTATGCATTATGCCCATTCTTTTTGTGTCAATATAATTAAGTGATTTGTTAGTAATTGGAAAGTGACTTAGAACATGCCCAGCTCATGGTGAGTACTAATTAAGTATTTGCTAAGAATAAAAAATAAAGGCTTTTTGTATGTCCTGTATACAGAACATCATGCCAAGAGGAAACCCCCAGGAAAATTAAGTAATTACTCTTTCTTTAGTCCGGGGCAACCACAATCTGCTTTTGGTCTCAATGGATATTTTTTACCTTTTCTGGACATTTTATATCAATGAAATCATATAATTCATGTCCTTTCGCATCTGGCTTATTTCACTTAGCATAATGTTTTCAAGGGTCTTTGATGTTCTGGCAATGTACCAGCACTTCACTCCTTTTTATGGCTCAACAATATTCTACTGTATGGATAGACCATGTGTTGTTTATTGATTCATCCATTGGTAGACATGTGGGTTATTTCCACCTTTTGGTTTCCGTTAATAATCTGAACACTCATGTGCAAGTATTTCTTTGAATAGCTGTTTTCAGTTCTTTGGGGTATATACCAAGGAGTGGAAGTGGTGGATATGGCAGTTCTATGATTAATGTGCTTTTCCTCTATTTATTTTTTATTTGATTTTTATAGAGACAGGGTCTTGCTATGTTACCAAGGCTGCTCTCAAACTCCTGGGCTCAAACAGTCCTCTCACCTTGGCCTCTCGAAGTGCTGGAATTATAGGCGGGAGCCACCATGCCCAGGCTTTCTAGGATTAACGTTTTGAAGAGCCACTATATTCTCTTCCATAGCAGATGCATCATATTATATTCCCACCAGCAGTGTACTATGGCTGCTGTGGGGAAATATGACATTTCCCCACATCCTCACCAGCAAGTGTTAATTCCTTTTTATGTGTGAAGTGGTATCTCATTGTGGTTTAATTTGTGTTTCTTTCATTACTAATGATTCTGAGCATCTTTTCATGTGCTTGTTAGCCATTCATTCTGGTGATTGTTTTTAATCATACCTTCTTATAATATACTCAGTCCTTCATTTCTCAGGAAATATCTATTGATCATCTAATATAGGTGAAGATAAAAGAGGAATATTACTATTTTTTCTGCCTATCCCAACCACCTTCTCTGGCAATTCTTTCTAAAGAAGGATCTTCTCCCCAACCTCCTTATTGCTGATTTCTGCATCTTATTTCTTTTTTTATGGCTCAAATCCCAGTATTTTTTTTTTTACTGTTTATTGCTTGCTTACTTTTTTTTTGCTTCTCTTCCCACTAGATATAAGTTCCATGCGGGCAACTAATCTGTCTATCTTGTTCTGTTTGTAACCCCAGCACTTACCTAGTGCAGTATCGGACTGGCAGACAGTAAGCTTTAATAAATATTTTTAAATAAATATCTGAATGAATGAACCACAATAAGTTCAGTTTCATTCGCGATGACTCCCCTATAGGATATGCATAATAATGATAGACTTAAGGACTTATATTTATATCTACATGTGTTAGTTTTCAGAAACTGCTATCATCAATTGAGGTAGGAAGTTGAACTTGACTCCAAAGGCAGGGCGCGGATACTGGACCATATTAAGGACTAGCTAAAACAGGTACAGGGCGGAAGCACCTTTCCATGGGACACGCCCACCAGTGTGTGCCACATACTATGGAGTTCACCGGAAGTTGCGGCCCCTTTCCATGGCAACAACCCGACAACCTGGAAATTAGCACTCTTTTTCTAAAATTTTCTGCATAATCTGCCCCTTAATTTGCATATAATTAAAAGTGGGTGTAAATAGGACTACAGAACTGCCTTCGAGCTGCTACTCTGGGCACACTGCCTATGGGGTAGCCCTGCTCTGCAAAGAGCAGGACCTCTGCTGCTGCTGTCCACTGCTGCTTCAACAGAAGTTGCTGTCTAATACCACCAGCTTGCCCTTGAATTCCTTCCTGAATGAACCCAAGAACCCTCTCAGGCTACAACCCAATTTGGGGGCTTGCCTGCCCTGCATCAAAATAACCACAAACTTGGTGGATTAGAAAAACAGATATCTATTCTCTCTTAGTTCTGGAGACCAGCTCAAAATCAAAGCGTTGGCAGGACGCTACTCCCTGTGAAGGCTCTAGGGGAGGACCTTTTCTTGCCTCTCCCAACCTCTGGTGGCTCCAGGCATTCTGCGGCTTGAGGCTGCATCACTCCAATCCCTGCCTCCATCTTCACATCTTCTTCCCTGTGTCTCTTTCTTTTCCTTTTCTGTCTCTTATAAGGACATTTGCCATTGGATACAAGGTCCACTGTAATCCAGGACGATCTCACCTCAAGATTCTCACCTTACTTACTTCTGCAAGAGCCCTTATTCCAAATAAGGTCACATGCTGAGGTTCCAGGTGAACATATCTTTTAGGGAGACACCATTCAACCCACTGCACCAACTAATTAAGTTCTGCACATTCTACCTTCTAAAAATCTCTTGGATCCATCGACTTCTCTCCAGACTTGCTCCCACTCCTTCTTTCAAATACTGTCATCTCCTGCCTGGATTATGCCTGCAGCTGCCTAACTTGTTTCTCTGCCTCCAGTTCTGTGCCTGTTCAATCCACACTCTGTGATGCAGCCGGAGTGATCTAAAACAGGCGGGTTTTGTCTTTTGCTGAGCATGTGCTGCAGACCGGCTCCATCACTGGCCCCCATCTTAATGCTACAGTGATTGCCCACAGCAGGTTCCTGACTTAGGCTAGTCAGAGCCATCCCCTGGGATTTTCGTGGCTGAACAGGCAGGAAAGTACCTCTCTGCCATCTACTGGTGGAAGTGTTGCAGTGTGAGTCTGAGCACCAGGTGCCACAGCTTGTGTGCTTCTCTGCAGTCGGAGGAAATTAGGCCAACCTGCTGAGAGAGGCAGAGATGGAAGACAGGAGGGGGACAGAGAACCCTGGGGACCCTCCTTCCTGCATCCAGCCCCTTGGCTAGCCCTCCCCTTCCTCTCTCTTCCTCACATGAACCAGTAAACTCTCCCTTGTTACTAACTCTGGTTGAGATGTGGCTTTGCACTCTGGAGCATCCCGACTGTAACCATCATCCTTACAGACAAGACTCATGGGATCTGATAACCACACAGCTTTATTTCTGCCCCCACTGTTTCTTTAAATCTCTTCTGCGGGCCCCACATACACTGGAGTTTGATCTTGCCCTGCACCTATAGTCATGATAGGTTGGAAAATATAGTCTTAATTCAGTAATTAAGATGTGCAGTCTTATGTCATAAACAAAATTCTGAATTTGATTTAAGGCTGGGGCTCCTCCCTGTCCCAGCTAGGGCCTGCTGTGGGCAGGAGAACTGCAGCTGGGAGAGTGGGCAGCTCAGCTGGTATCTTCCTTTCATTGGGACTCTTCTGTTTCTGTTCCCATGCCCCAAATCCCCCAGATTTGTAAACTGTGGCTTCTGGCCGGGTGCGGTGGCTTACGCCTATAATCTCAGAACTTTGGGAGGCTGAGGTGGGTGATCACCAGAGGTCAGGAATTCAAGACCAGCCTGGCCAACATGGTGAAATCCTGACTCTACTAAAAATGCAGAAATTAGATTGGCATGGTGGCAGGCACCTGTAGTCCCAGCTACTCGGGAGGCTGAGGCAGGAGAATTGCTTGAACCTGGGAGACGGAGGTTGCAGTGAACCAAGATCACACCACTGAACTCCAGATTGGGCAACAGAGCAAGACTCCCTCAAGAAAAAAACAAAAACAAAAAACAAAAAACAAACTGTAGCTTCTGAGCTCCCCAGGACTGAAGCTAGGAAAAGGAGAGAGCTGAGGGAGCAAAACAGTCTTGTCTGTCTGTTCTGTGATGTAAACTAGCAGAGGCAAGTGTTTAGAGCTAATACCTTCCCTGTGAGCACATTCTTGAAGTCTCAGAAGACCCTGAAGCATCATATGGCCAACTGCACCAGGCCGGTGTTCAACAGCGTCCCCATGTGGCAGCTAGAAGCAATAGCACAGAGGAGTGTTCAGATGCTAGTCCTCTCTGATTGGCTGAGGAGGCCAGGCCAACCACCCTACTCATTCTGGACAAAGCCGCTTGGAGTCCTGGCCAACCCAGGAGGCTTTAAGAGGGAGGCGAATATAGGTTGTCCTGCCAGCCAGGCAGCCGAGGACGCAAGTAATTAACTGAGAGAAGAAATGAGCTGTGACAATATTTGCCCTCTTTGGCTTGGGGAGCCATTCCACAAATGTCATCATATGTTTTTTTTTGTTTTTTTTTTTTTTTTTACAGCAGAGGGATGAAGTGACTTGGCTGTAATCCCACAATTAGTAAATGATCAAGTCCCAACTGGAACATGGTTCTTCCAGTTCTAAAGGCCATGAGCTTTCCTTTGAACCTCCCTAAAGATGAGTCCCTAAATGCTGGATAAGAGAAAAATGAAGTTAAAAGGAAGGACAAAGGTGACATATAAATTAAAGATTTTAAACATATGTGATGCCTCTTTAACCTCCAGGAGAGGAAAAAGCCTCTGGAGTCTGTGCTCTTAGCCAGGAGGGGATGGATGCAGGGCATCCTTTATCTGGAGACGCAGGGCAAGGAAGAGACTCAGTTGTTCTCTGCAGGGGTCCTTTACCGTCATTTTTAATGTCTTTTTGCACTGCAGGGCATCAGAGCTGACCGATGAGGTCTGTCTCCTCTAGAAAATTCTCCTTGGAAAGAATGTCAAGTGTGGATATGAACATTTATTTGTTGACATTTTAAAAATGCCAATACTGACCCCCTGAAATGCAAAGGCACTTCTTTTCTTTTTAAAATTTCTTTTGGAGTCAAGTCCACATCATTGCCACCTTTGCTCCCAATTTAGACACCTTTCTTCGAAGCTGACTGGCTTCTCAGTGGACAAAAAAGCCATTGCCCTCTGGGAGAGTTGGGTCTTTGATGTCAAGGGGACTGCAGGATATTGGAATTTGTTCTTCCAGAACTGTAGCTCATACAAATATTTACCAGGTGAGTGGCTTTGCTTGGTTGCGTTCAGGGCAATATTTGTCCAGACTGATCAGAGGCCTAAGGAAGGAGGTATCCACAAGTCAGAAGAAAATTCTTGGCCCTCGTGCTGATACAGGTTGTTCCATTTCACTGTTATGTAAGCACAGGGGAATGACCGGAGGCGGGCGTCATCCACACAGCATAGGGAAGCAGGCAGCTGCAGGGCCCCACACTGACCATGATCCCGACCACTCCCCCTCAAGGGACGGGGACACTCTTCGTGAGATGGCACCATGTGGCCAGATATAGAATCCTTAAAAATAGTATTTGTATTTTTCTATGAATACCTTAAACTTTGTTTTCCCACCATCTATCAGGGCTTTCTACATTAAAGAAACAACAGGGAAGCCAGGTGTGGTAGCACACCTCTGTAATCCCAGCTACTCAGGAGGCCGAGCAGAAGAATCGCTTGAACCTGGGAGGCAGGGGCTGCAGTGAGCTGAGATCACACCACTGAGCTCCAGCCTGGGTGACAGAGCAGGACAAGAAAACAAGAGAAAACAAAAACAAAAACAAAAACAAGACAACAGGAAGAGGTTTATATTGAAGCAGACGATGCATGCAAAAAAGTGCCTGTGCACAAGGCTACAGCTCTATGAAGTGTCTCAAATTGAACAAACCTGTAAAACAGAATATGACCGGCACCCAGAGTTCCCCTCATGCCCTTGTCATTTACCCTTCCCTGAAAAGTATCCACTATCCTGCCTTTTAACATCAGAGATTGTTTTTGCCCAACAGGGAGAGTTTAAGGTCGTGGATATGCCTTGGCAGTAAGAGTTTATGATTTAACCTTTAGGGAAGTGATCGAGACAGTTCACCACACAGGATCCTGGGTCCAGCGTGAAGGTGACATTCAGGGTATGGAAGGAGAATGACTTTGGTGTGGATGACCCACCTCTGGCACCTATGAGCTATGGGACATTGGGCCAGTCACTTCCCTGAGCCTGAGTGTCCTCTCTTTAAATGGGGATAATACTCCTGCCTCACAGGATTCTGGGAGGTGGGAAGCATTTGACACAGATCTATTCCCTAACATCAGTGCCCCTTCAACAGGCAGACTAGACAGGACTCTCCGTGGAGGAGAATGGCTGCTCAACAAAAGGCCATCTTTCCTTCTGTCTCACGATTGTTTTGGAGCTTATGATTCCCCACATCTCATGCCAACGTCCTCCTGATCTGAATGTTAAATCTGTTGACTTCACAAATGAAACACTCTCCAAAGCCTCCACCTCTGGCACATTGGCTGCCCGGTGTGCTCTCCCTCATCTATTCAGATACCTCCCCAGAGAGCGGCTCTTCCCACACAGAGCCCCAGGCTTCTCTCCTGCCTTCTCAGGACCAAGGACATAAGATCCTGCTCATCCTTCACCTCCTTCACCACCTTCACCTCACAGATGAGGAAACTGAGGCTCACAAAGATGAGGGGGCTGGCCCAGGGTCATGCAGCAAGGATGTGGCTGGGGCCAGAGCCCTGACTCCCAGCCCTTATCACTGCCACGAGCCCCTTATTATCACGGGTCAGGTGCTCTCCCCTCCCACGTCCCACTGGCAGTGTCCAAATCCCTTGTCTGTGTGGCAGAGGGGGGATGCCATGGTCCATCCCATAGCAAGAGACAGCAGGAGCCAAATGAATCTTCAACAAAGATATCTAACAAATGGGTGCATTTATTATTGAATAGGTAATACACATACGGTTAAAAATATTTAAAGCATAAAAATATTTAGTGAGAGCTCTCCCTCCCACACCTGCCATATATCTACCTGGTTCTCTCCTCCAATAGGTAACCCCTCTTCTTAATTTCTTGGATATTCCACTGGTGTTTTAAATGCTTACAGTGGCAAAATCAGATATATATATATATGCTTCCTCTCAATTTTTGGATACATGTTAACATGCTCTCTTCTTTACCTTTTTCATAACAGCACACCTTAGAGAGCTTTATACATCAGTACATAAATAGCTTCCTCGTTCTTTTTCACAGCTGTGTAATACTCCATTGTATATGTATATTATAATTTTTTTTTTGAGATGGAGTTTCACTCTTATTGCCCAGGCTGGAGTGCAATGGCACAACCTCTGCTCACTGCAACCTCCGCCTCCTGGGTTCAAGCAATTCTCCTGCCTCAGCCTCCCAAGTAACTGGGATTACAGGCATGCTCCACTATGCCCGGCTAATTTTTTGTACTTTTAGTAGAGACAGGGTTTCTCCATGTTGGTCAGGCTGGTCTCGAACTCCCAACCTCAGGGGATCCACCCACCTCGGCCTCCCAAAGTGCTGGGATTACAGGTGTGAGCCACTGCACCCAGCTTGTATATTATAATTTTTAACAGTTTTATTGAAATATAATTCATATACCATAAAATTCATCCATTTAAAGTATGCATTCAATTTTTTTGTATATTCACAGATTGTGTACAGTGAGCACCACAATTTTAGAAGTTTTATTACCCCTCCAAAAATGCTATATACCCTTAGTTATCACCCCCAATCCCTCCCGCTAGTGAACCACTAATCTATTTTCTATCTTTGTAGATTTGCCTATTCTTGGCATTTCATATAAATGAAATCCTACAATATGTAGTCCTTTGTGACTGACTTCTTTTATTTAGCACAATGTTTGCAAGTTTCATCCGTGTTATGGCATATATCAGTACTTCATTCCTGTTTATTGCTGAATAACATTCCATTGTATGGATAAACCACATTTTATTTATTCATTAGTCAGTTGTTGGATATTTGGGTTGTTTCCATTTTTTGCTATTACAGATAATGCTGCTTTGAACATGTGTGTTCAAGTTTTTGTGTAAACTTACATTTTTATTTCTCCTGGGAAGATACCCAGGAGTAGAATTGCTGGATCATATGGCTTATTTTATAACTTACTTACCCAGTACCCCATTGATGGAAATTTCATCAAATTGTATCTTAAAAACCAGCAACCATCACAAACGTGGCAAGTTAGAGTCCTAGAGTGAGGATTAGGAAGAAATGGAACTGGAAACAATGGCTGGATGATTTAACTTGCCAGTCTTCCAACTTTTCCCTCCCTGCTCCTGGGGAAACTTTACCCGCAGACACTTACTCTAACACTTTCCAATTAAGCCTACCTCAACTCCAATGGGGTCTGTGACTCTGGGAAAGAGAAGAGCCATTTCTCACCACCTGGCACAGGAGTCCACTGCCCACTGACCCCTCAGGGAAAGCCCAAGTCCCCTCAGGTGTGTCACCCTTGGGGTGTCACTCCCTTCCTGTCTGGGTTTCCTCATCTGGGAGACTGTCCAGAGGAAGCTGGTGACTCTTGACCATGGAGTTTCCTGGCCCTATGATGACAGATCTCTGCCACACCTGGCCATCTGCCACACCTGCAACAGGTGCAGAACACAGGGGAATTCAATAGCCATCCAAGCTCTAAGCGGAGAGCCAGCCTCAGGGGGAGCTTCTGGCCACCTCAGTTCATGATGGGACCTGAGAGATGGAGATTCCTTAATACCAGCACGTTTTAAAAATTTGTTTTGATTGAGAACTTCTTAACAAGTCAAAGCTGGGAAGTGCTTTCTGTTCTGATGCAACAGAAGACACAGCAAATCGGATCCTCTGATTAATTGCATGAAAGCAAAGTCATCCACTTACTAAGTTTCTGTTTGGTGCTGCCCTAAGATTGTTGGAAGATCATATTACTCCCCACTCTGGAAACTCAGTGCAGCTCAACTGCAGTAGGACTGATTCTTCCCTAGGAGACGGAGTTCTCCTTTCATCATCTTCCCCTTCTGTGCATGGTAGCCGCTTGAACTTGCCCCTCCAAGAGTCAAGGACAAGACCACCCCATGGAATGTGAGTACTCAGCTACAATGCAAGGATGGGCAGGTTGAGATTTTACATATTTCACGTCATTAAATTACAAGTACAAAATAGCACAGAGGAAAAAGTTTCTCTCTTCTACAGGATATGTTTGTCCATTAAGATACAACCTAACTTACTTTTACCTTTGTAAGAAAGGTAAAATGTAATGTATTGCAGTAATTAATATAGTGAGTTTCTTTCGTGTAGAAAATGGACTGGTTTTTAAATAATTTAATGTTCTGTGTGTAGCTCTTAGTTGGGGATATTTTATTTGTATTTGAATGTGTTGCATCATTCTATGACAATTTCTAGAAAGTTCTATGAGTTTATACATGTGTTCTGAGTTTCAATAAGTTCTCTTGCCCTAATATAAGGATATTGTGTTCTTGTTGGGTTGATTTGCTGTCTGTTTGTTTGTTGCAATAATTACGGGAATTTTTCACCTTCCTTACTTTAATGTCTCAAACCATTCTACCAAACAATGGTGTAAATTTATGCTTGTGGTGTTGTTTCTTGCGAGTGACTAATTTTATGTAATTAAATCTGTTCATTTGTCCTGGGCTTTGTCACATGTAGTTTGAAAAGTAATTTTTAAATAGTTTCTTCCTTCATCTAAAAGTAATAAGCTCATTCACACATTCTGGCAACTAACTATAATAAAAAATACTGGCCTCTCTGAGTCTTGCGTTCGCAAAATGAATTAGCAACAAACAACGATCAAATGGGAAGCATTTTGGAGCACCTTTGTTCTGCACAGCAGGCTGCAAGATTGATCCTATGATGTGTTTTTAAATACATCTGTGTTCACATTAGAGCAAGAAATGGGGGTTTGAGCCAGTAAGGCCCCACTGGGAAATGTCTCACAGGATTGCACTCTACAGCTCTGGTTTTCATTGTTTCATTTTCTCCACCAGCTCTCCAAGCAGAGAAAACAGTTTTGAATTGAACAGCAATTGAGATCTTAATCTTCTGGTCTTACAAGGGCATACAACGGCTTTACCCAGGGGCACCTCACCAGGGAGACCAGAAAAGTACCAACTGGTACACTCTTGCTTTTCAAAAATAAGTATACACGGTACTAAGTGTACAAAAGGGCAAACAGTAAAAAATATATCTTCTTCCCCCAGGTTTCTTCCCCAGAGGCAATTGCAGATACTAATTTCTTATTCATTCTTCCAGAGATGTTCTATACATAAAAAAAGTACAAGCAAATAACATATAACTTCCCCCTTCTTTACAAGTGGCATTGCAGAGCATGTCACCATTAGCTTATTTTTTCACTTATTAACATTCAGTACCATAAAAAACTCATTGCTTTTTATGACTGTGTAGTACTCCACTGCATGGAGGTTCCAAAATGTATTTCACCATCCCTCAGTTGGTGCTATTCAGGCTGTTCCCAGGCATTCGTCATCACAAGGAGGACTGCAATGACTAACCTTCAGCATATGTTGTCTCTAGATGTTCTGGAGCATCTTTAGGATAGATTCCTAGAGATAGAATTGCTGGGTCAAAGGTAAGTGCACTTGTAATGCTCATAGATCTTGTCCGTGTGCCCTCCATGTTGGCTGCATGAATTTACCAGCAATTATACAATTAAAATTCTCCTTGGAAAAAATGTCAAGTGTGGATATGAACATTTATTTGTTGACATTTTAAAAATGCCAATCCTAAACCCCTGAAATGCAGAGGCACTTGTTTCTTTTCTTTAAAAAAATTTTTTTTTGGTGTCAAGTCCACGTCATTGCCACCTTTGCTCCCAATTTAGACACCTTTCTTCTAAGCTGGACAAAAGAACAAAAAAAAGCCATTTTTTTGTTAGTTTATTCTGAAACATCATGAATTTGCAAGTCCAATAGGTAACAAAATGGTATCTAGTTATTATCTTAATTTGCATTTTTCTTATATGAGTGATATTGAGAAGCTCTTCTTATGTTGAATGTTCATTTTTTCCCTGTGAACTATTTGTCCATATCTTTTGCACATTTTTCTACTGCAGTTTTAAACTTTTTCTTACAGAACCGAAGGCTATTTAGAAAATCAGTGATATAAATTGCACTTTGTCATCTGCCTGTTGGTTTTATGGTATGAAATAGCTTAATTTTTTTTATGTAGTTGAATTTGATTTCTATTTCTTGTTTCTTCTGAATTTTTGTTATGCTTAAAAGAATATTCCACTCTGAGATGATAAAGAAAAAATCTGCCATGCTGTACTCTAGTACTATAAATTATTTCACTTTTTATGTTAAAATATTTGATTTATCTGGGCTGTTTTTTTTTTAATCTGGACCGATTTATCTGGTCATATGGTGGAGAGATGTGGATCTAATGCTATTTCCCCCAATGCTACATATTGAATAATTCATCTTTTCCCACCGATCAGAAATGCTCCTTTATTAGCTAGCTATCAAATTCTAATTGCTAACTATTGATGCTGTTTTTACTCTGTTTCATTGGTCTGCTTGCCTGTGTTTTCAGCACCACACTATTTTAGCTGTTGTAGTTTTATTTTTTATTTTTTTTATTTTTTAAGACAGAGTCTTGCTCTGTCACCCAGGCTGGAGTGCAGTGGCCCGATCTTGGCTCACTGCAACCTCCACCTCCTGGACTCAAGCGATTCTCCTGCCTCGGCCTCCCTAGTAGCTGGAACTACAGGCATCACACTATTTTAGCTGTTGTAGTTTTATTTTTTATTTTTTTACTTTTTAAGATAGAGTCTTGCTCTGTCTTGCTGGAACTACAGGCATCACTTGGCTCACTGCAACCTCCACCTCCTGGACTCAAGCGATTCTCCTGCCTCAGCCTCCCTAGTAGCTGGAACTACAGGTGTGTGCCACCACGCCTGGTTAATTTTTGTATTTTTAGTAAAGACGGGGTTTCTCCATTTTGGCAGGGCTGGTCTCGAACTCCTGACCTCAGGTGATCCACCTGCCTCAGCCTCCCAAAGTGCTGGGATTACAGGTGTGAGCCACCATGCCCAGCACTGTTGTAGTTTTATAGGGAGAGTTGTACCTGGTTCTGAAGAACCCCCAGCCCACACACTCTGCAAAGCCCAGCAAGTCCCAGCTGGGCTTTGTGCATATAAAGCTTTCATTCATTGAAAAAAATGTAAATTAGTTTTTATAGCTGGCTGATTTAAAATTTGTGGCTAGGCTAATTCATTAGTCATTCTTTTTATTCAGATTTTTTTTTCTAATTAGTCTTGACAGTTGATTTTTCTTTTTCTTTTTCTTTCTTTCTTTTTTTGTTTTTTTTAAATAGGGTCCCATGCTGGAATGCAGTGGTGTGAACACAGCTCACTGCAGCCTCAACCTCCTGGGCTCAAGTGATCCTCCGGCCTCAGCCTCCTGAGTAGTTAGGACCATAGGCTTGCACACCACACCTGGCTAGTTTTTTTATTTCTTGTAGAGACAGGGTCTTGTCATGTTGGCCAGGCTGGTCTCAACCTCCTGGGCTCAAGCAATCTTCCCACCTTAGCCTCCCAAAGTGCTGGGATTACAGGCATGAGACACCATGCCCGGCCAACAGTTGATTTTTCTAAATGAATAGTTTATTGATTTCACAAAGAAATCCTATTGCTGTTTTTATTGCAATTATGTTTGTTGTATAAATTATTTGAGGGATAACTGACATCTTTATGATGTTGTGTCTCCTATTCAAGAACTTAGTGTTTTTCTGGGCACAGTGGCTCCTGCCTGTAATCCCAGGGCTTGGGAGGCTAAGGTGAGAGGAGCTCTTGAGACCAGGAATTCAAAACCAGCCTGGTCAACATGGCAAGACCCTATCTCTACAAAAAAAAAAAGAGAGAGAAAAAAGAAAAAAATTAGCCCGGCATGGTGCTGCATGTCTATTTGTGAGGCTGAGGCAGGAGGATCAATTGAGCCCAGGAGGTTGAGGCTGTAGTAAGTTATGATCATGCCACTGCACTCCAGCCTGGGTGACAGAGACTCTGTCTCTCTAAAACAAACAAAACAAAAAACAAAACAAAACAACAACAAAATAGTGTTTTGGACTCTTTTGATTTTTAAAAATATATTGACATACCTGTTGTTACACTCCTGCTCATGCCTCAGAGAAGGCCTCTTTGAGCAGCGACACGTTTTCACGGATATGAGGGCTCCATTCTCCTTGGTGTGGCCAGGCAGCCCTCAGCCCAGGACGCTGGATCTCATCCGGACCTCTCTGTTTCTCAGGGGCCAAGTGGACTCCCCATGAAGCCTCCAACCAGACCCAGGCCAGCACCCTCCTGGGGCTCCTGCTGGGTGACCACACAGAGGGGAGGAATGACACCAACTCCACCAGGGCTCTGAAGGTGCCAGACGGAACCAGCGCTGCCTGGTATATACTCACCATCATCGGCATCTACGCGGTGATTTTCGTCTTCCGGCTGGCCAGCAACATCCTCAGAAAGAATGACAAGTCCTTAGAAGATGTTTATTACTCAAATCTGACCTCTGAACTCAAAATGACAGGGCTGCAGGGCAAGGTCGCCAAGTGCTCCACCCTGTCTATCAGCAACAGAGCTGTGCTGCAGCCCTGCCAGGCCCACCTGGGGGCAAAGGGCGGAAGCAGCGGGCCCCAAACCGCAACCCCAGAGACCCCCTGAGAGTCAAGGCCAGGAGGCCTTCCCTAGGGTGGCCCCAGACTTCTTGGAGGGGAGCAGCTTTGGGTTTACTTGGAGCCCTTGAGGGGGACTGGGGGTGCATCACTGACAAGGGGTGCTTCTGGCTGCTAGTTTGTGACCAGAGCCAGCCACCCAGTTCCTTCTCAGACTTCCAGGTGCTTCGAGAAGAGAGAGCAGGGCAGCGGTTTCTAGCCAAATTCAATCTTCACTGGCAAAACCTGTGCTCTGGGGAGGAGCACTATTCCACTGTTCTCGGAGGAATCCGGGAGACTCCTGGGGGCATACAAGGAGGTGACTCCTTGTCGTGGAAAGAAGAATGAACTTGGAGTCAGTTCTGGGTTAAAATTCAACTTCTGGGGAGTCACATAAACTGAGCAGCTTAGTTGCTCACCTGAGACATTTAGGGTTTGGAGACAGATGGTTTTAAAAGTCTATTTTATTTGAAAGACTCTAGCTTGAATATAGGACCAAAGTTGTTAATATCAGAAGTTGGAAATTCTTCATTTTCATTGAAAGAATTAGGTACGACAAAAAAAGCATTGGAGCTGGGTGTGGTGGCTCATGCCTGAATCCCAGCATTTAGAGACCCTGAGGCAGTAGGATCACTTGAGCCCAGAAGATTGAGTCCAGCCTGGGCAACCTAGGGAGACCCCGTTTCTACAAAAAAAAAAAAAAAAAAGTTTTGTTTTGTTTTGTTTTGTTTTGTTTTGTTTTGTTTTGTTTTGTTTTGAGACGGAGTTTGCTCTTGTCGCCCAGGCTGGAGTGCAATGTCACAATCTCAGCTCACTGCAACCTCTGCCTCCTGGGTTCAAGCAATTCTCCTACCTCAGCCTCCTGAGTAGCTGGGACTACAGGCATGTGCCACCACGCCTGGCTAATTTTTTTGTATTTTTAGTAGAGATGAGGTTTCACCATTTTGGCCAGTCTGGTCTCGATATCCTGACCTTGTGGTCCGCCTGCCTTGGCCTACCAAAGTGCTGGGATTACAAGCATGAGCCACCGTGCCCAGCCAAAAAATGTTTAAAACACATTAGCCAGGCATGTGCCTATGGTCCCAGGTACTTGAGAGGCTGAGGTGGGAGGATTGCTTGAGCTTGGGAAGTCGAGGCTGCAGTAAGCTGTGATCATGCCACTGCACTCAAGCTTGGGTGACAGAGTGAGACCCTGTCTCAAAAAAAATTTTTTTCTTTTAAGAAAAATGTATTAATTTTGGAGTCAGAAGAACCAAACTCTAGTCTGGATTTGATTATCAATCACTCTGGTGTCCTTTCACACATCACTTCGCTTCTCTAGAACTTAGTTTCCATACAGATAAAATGAGGCTAATGATGTCAGATCTGCCAACCTTACCAAGTAGATAAGATCTAATGAAACCATGCATGTGAATGTATTTCGAAAAGTAAAATAAGTATGTAAATATAAGCCTTGTTGTGGTAAGTGGTGATGGTGGTGACTGGTGGTTCTAGGTGATGCTAATGGTTTTGGTGGTGGTGATGGTTTATGTTGATGGCAGTGTTGCTGTTGGTGATGTTATTGGTGGTGGTTATGATGCTAACGGTGGTGGCGTAGGTGGTGGTGGTTGATGTTGGCATTAATGGTGGTGGTGATGATGCTATTCTGAAACAGGAAATGACTAATTCCTTGACAATTAGTCTCTAAGCAATGGCTGTATTGTCTTGTTCCACAAGAGAATTCCGTCTGCATGTCAGTTGATGACCTGTGCTATCAATTGAATCCATGAGATTTTGCCTGTGGACACTTTTAGATTTCCTTACATTAGATATCATATGCTTCACTCAAGTGGTTTACCAATACCTGTTACTTATATACTTTTCTTTGTCTAAAAAAGAAATAAGATCTGTCTAGATGACTGATTAACTTAGGGAGATTCTGATTAACAGAATTTCTAGAAATGGCTTTCAGCAGGCAAAGAGAAAATTATATTTTGTACCAATTTATATAAAGTTCATCTAGCTCAGCTTTTGGAGATGTCCCTGGGGCTAGAGATGAAATATCGTTTTCCTGTCCACAGACAGCGGTCTGCAGTTCACCCCATGAACTCATACAGGTCAGAATTAAACCCCGAGCTTTGTTTATGGAGGGTGAGATATATTTCCAAGTATTTCTTTCTCTTTTCACATTTTCCACATCATTACCATCATCATTGTCGTCATCATCATTGTCATCATCCTACAGGTTGAAAACAGAAGTGTTAGTTTATTTATAAAGTTTATATAGGCTTTATGCATATGTTTGAGATGCTTATAGGGCAGGACAAAACAGAAGACACAAAGGTAGACAAAAATGTAATCCACAGTCATAGGAATACAGAATGCATTCAAATGGGGCTGAATGGTCAGAACTTAGGTGAATCTGAGGATAGGAAGAGTGAATTGGCACAATCTCCCCTTGTTGGTTGCCCCTGCAGCATGCATTTCCCCCTTCTCTAATCCAGCTGCCCCGAATTTTCATTTGAGGACCCATACAGCTCTAGGAAAGTTGAAACTACCCCCAGTTCAAGAATTGGAATAAGTTTCAAATGAAAAAGCTGAATGAAAAATAATTTTTAAAAAATAATAATAATAAGTGTTTTAAAAAGTGGGAATAAGAGGCCTAGATTGATCCAGTCGTTGCATCCCATCTCCTGGCCTCATTGCTTGGGACCAGGATGGACACCTGACCCTAAGCGAAACAACCCAATAAGAGTGACCAGGAGAACTTTAATGGGGAATTCTGGAACAAAAAAGCTTTCTCTTGCTCTGGATGGTGTTAAAAGCCGATCTGAGCCTGAAATTGTTACGGGAATGGGATCCTGATCCAGACCCCAAGGGAGGGTTCTTGAATCTTGCACAAGAAAGAATTGAGGGCAAGTCCATAAAGTAAAATGAAAGCAAGTTTATTAAGAAAGTAAAGAACAAAAGAATGGCTACTCCATAGGCAGAGCAGCAGCAGGGACTGCTTGACTGAGTACACTATGGTTATTTCTTGATTGTATGCTAAACAAGGAGTGGATTATTCATAAATTTTCCAGGAAAGGGTCAGGGATTTCTCAGAACCCTCAGTTCTTTTAGACTATATAGGTTCTCCTTTTAGACCATATAGGGTAACTTCTGGACATTGCCATGGCATTTGTAAGCTGTCATGGAGTTAGTAGAAGTGTCTTTTACCACACTAATGCATTACAATTACCATATAATGAGCAGTGAGGAAGACCAGAGGTCACATTAATCACCATCTTGGTTTTGGTGGGTTTTGGCTGGCTTCTTTATTGCATCTTGTTTTATCAGCAGGGTCTTTGTGACCTGTGTCTTGTGATATCAATCCTGCTGGCCTCCTGTCTCACCCTGTGACTAAGAATGCCTACCCTCCTGGAATGCAGTCCAGCAAGTCTCATCCTCATTTTACACAGCCTTTAATCAAGATGGAGTCACTCTGCTTCGAAAACCTCTGACAGAATTGCTGGATCCATTTTGCCACCATGAAGAAAGCCAACTTGAAGGCAAAAACCCAGCATCTAGAAGGGAGAAGAACTAGGAAATTACAGAGACCAGAGCCTGTACCAACTGTACCCAGAGCCTTCATTTACCACTGGAGTTTTTCAGTTTGTGAACCAATGAGATCCTTTTATTAAGTCTTTTGGAGCTAGGCTTTTGTTCCTCACAACCAAAAATATCCTAAATGATACCACTGGATAAATGATTTCCCGAAGGAAGTGGGCCTTGGAGTCAAATTTGAAAAGAGAAGATGTGTGATGTGCTGTGTGGGAGGCTGGGATCATTTTTTTTCACCAAGATTTTTATATTTATAGGCTTTTATATTTATAGGGGAAAAACAGATTCGGTACACTTCTTACTTCAGCTCAATAATCATTTGCAGGACTTCTCATTGCTTGACCTCTCAAAGAGCACTCAGTGAGACTCTGTACCATTTAATCCTCACCCCTGACTGTCAGTAGACTGCCATGGAAACCCCAAGGATGCCTGTCCTGTTGGACATGTGGTCAGAGACTGGCTCCAAAGATATCTCCCAAAGAGCAAAAGCCACCATCTTCCTGTTGGTGCCCAGACACAGGTGCATGAGCTCCAAGGACTCCTTCCTAGGCCACCTCTCTGCTGCCTGATCTAAACTCACCTCATTTCTGGGAGCTGGTCTGAGAGTCTGCCTTGGAGATGTGTTGGATGGGAACTAGGGGTTTGTAGGCTCCATTGTGAGCAATACTGATGGGAAATGACCCCAACTGGTATGGATATTTTGCATAAAGCCCCTGAAATCTGACATGCTCAGGGTCAGAGCCATGAACCACTGTCTTGACAAACCCCATGTACATGGACTAATAAGGAAGGTGTGGGCACCATGGCGTTAGTGTTCAACTGGAGAGTGGGAAAGAGATTTGCATGTGCCACCAGCCCTGATAGAGACAGTGACAGAACACACTGATTCTCAACATTGCAGACACCTGCTGTCTTTGTCCCTATGTAGGTTTCCCCCAATATTTAGGGGATCAGGTCAGATAAAGGCCTTCCTCTGAAATGGAAATTATTTAAAATCGATGAGGAAGTCATCCAGGAATGACTTCCTCTGGGGATCTGTGGATGATGGTGCTAGGGTTTGTACCAGACCAAATCAAGGTAACTAGAGCCTCCCCAGGTGATTGTAACCCATCTCCTAAATAAAACTTGCATCGACTCGGTTGCATTACAATTTGATTTTCCTGGGTGATGTACTCATCACATTTTTTAAAAAAGGACTTAAAGAAAGACTTTAGAGACTAAATTCTTGGTATTTATGCACCTCTTTCTGGAGTCACAGGTGGGCTCTGATTCTCATAACTGATTGCCTTGACTTCTACCGGAGCAGAAGAATGCCAGCTCATTCTTCAAATACAGTTAGTCTTCTGTTGGCAATTATGGAAAACAGCTCTACCTAGCGCATGCAAATGTGTGTGTGTGTGTGTGTGTGTGTGTGTGTGTGTGTGCGCGTGTGTGTGATTTTGAGGAAGGTAACTGAGGTAGCTCACAGAATCAAAAGGACAGCAGCTCCTCCCAGCCTTAGGAAGGAGAGGGGTTAGTCTGCCATGAGGCCCTTACTTGGCGGCCCCAGTTGGAGAACCTTCTCACTAGGATTCTCCCAAAAGACAGCTCAGCTCCCATGTCTGCCTTTTAGTGCCTCTGCTCAAGTTTCAGATCTCAGGGTGAGGGCACTGCAGTGGATCAGGGAAGAGCAGGTGTGCAGGTGACCCAGGGAATGGAGCGCTCTGATTGGCTGAGGCTGAGTCATAGGCCCCCTCCTATAGGACATCAAAGTCTTTGAAGAAAATGCCAATTAAAAGCACTGTTGGCTGGGCACTGTGGCTCATGCCTATAATCCTAGCACTTTGGGAGGCCGAGGTGGGCAGATCACTTGAGGTCAGGAGTTCGAGACCAGCCTGGCCAACATGGTGAAACCCCGTCTCTACTAAAAATACAAAAATTAGCTGGGTATGGTGGCGGGCACCTGTAATCCCAACTACTCAGGAGGCTGAAGCAGGAGAATCACTTAAACCTGGGAGGCGGAGGTTGCAGTGAGCCGAGATTGTGCCACCACACTCCAGCCTGGGCAACAGATCGAGACTCCATCTCAAAACAAAACAAACAAACCAAAAAAGCACTGTTGCTCAGATATCACCCCCTGTGTGAAACCTTGATCCCTAAGGCAGAATTGCTTGTTCCTCCATGGCTTCTGTAGCACTTTGTAAAACATTTGGATGGATCAAAGAGAGAAAATTTTATTCAACAGAATTTTTCCAAGGACGGCACATTTGTTTGCCAAGTGTTTGGTAAGCAAGAGAGACCTGTACAGTTTTGGTACAGGAAGGGCCCATGAATGTGGGCGGAACTATTCCACAGGAGACAAGGAGAAGCTGTTCTCTGGAGGGAGGGAATGGAGAGGGAGAGGTGGTTTAGGGATCTGCAGGATGGCAGAATGCATCCAGAAATGACTTTCCTATCATTTCCCCACCACTGCCTCAAGCCCTTTTCTTCTACGATTTTATGAAACTCATGGGATAAATGCTTGAAGTGAGTAGGCTAGAAGCCAGCAAAGGGATGCAGGGATGTGCCCAGACACATACAGGTGGAACGGAAGCAGCAGGCAGATGGGGGGTGTCAGGAACAGAAATGCTTTCCTAGGGCAACCTAGTTAGGTTTCGTTTAAGCTAATCAGGAAGTAACCAGAGTCATGGGGAGGCTGTAAAACTGAGGCAGGGACCAGATTTCACCAAATCATTGTAGAATGAGGGCAAGGATGAAGGAGGGGTGGAGGTAGGTGCTTGCAGGAGTCACCTTGATATGGTTTGCCTGTGTCCCCACTCAAATCTCATCTTGAACTATAGTTCCCATAATCCCCATGCGTCATGGGAGGGAGCCGGTGGGTAATTACCTCCATGCTGTTCTCTTGATAGTGATTGCGTTCTCACAAGATCTGATGGTTTTATAAGGGGCTTTCCCCACTTTGCTCTGTATTTCTCCTTCCTGCCATCATGCGAAGAAGGATATGCTTGCTTCCTTTTCTGCCATGATTGTAAGTTTCCTGAGGCCTCCTCAGCCATGAGGAATTGTGAGTCAATTAAGCATCTTTCCTTTATAAATTACCCAGTCTCAGGTATGTCTTTATTGACAGCATGAGAACAGACTAATACATACCTGAAAAGGAGAACACTTATCACATAATGCTGTAAATACAGGTCGGCAGTCTCTTCCCCACTGAACCAGAAGAATATGATTTTTAAGAATAAAAGATATCTTATTGATCAATTGATCAACAATATCTTATTGATCTTGACCCACTTATTTCAAAACACACAATAAATATTTGTAACTATTCTTTTAAAAATAGCAATACCCATTTAAAAATAATGAAATCCAGACTAAAAGGACTTGGTATGTACCAGGCACTAAGTGCGCTGCATGCATCTCCCCGCTTGCCAGTTGCCCATCCCCTGCGCCTAGTGCTCCATGCTTGCCTCTCTTATGGCACCCACAAATGAAGCTGGAGGCAGAAACCATACAGTCACTTGAACACAGGAAGTTTCCTGTAAGGAAATGATTAAGTGGTGAGGAAGAAACTACAAAGATACAAAGAGAACTCTCAAGGGTTCCCTAGGGCTCAGTACCCAGGGAAGGACCAACTCGGCTCCCCAAGGCTGGGCTTCAGACGTCTTTAGAGAAGATGTGATTGCAGCCACTGGCCGGAGGGGAAGTTCGTGGGTGGCCGGGGCCACAGTTGGCCCACAGTCCCCAGGCAGCTGGTCCTCTAGTGCACAGGAGCACCAAGACTGGTAGATGGGTGACCAGAGAGAGCCAGGGTGCCAGGAGCTCACTCGCTGGTGGGGTGGCCGGGAGGATGCTGTGCGCCTTGCCCATGGCACACAGGGCCCATGGCACACGCCTCCAGGACACAGCCCCAGAGAGGCTGTGGTGTGGCACTTGCAAGAGTCGAGGCACTGAGCATGTGCCATGGACTGAATGCTTTTGTCCTTTGTCCCCTGAAATCCACATGTTAAAGCCTTAATCCCCAATGTGATAGTATGGAGGTGAGATTTAGATGAGGTTTCGGGAGGTTTAGATGAGGTCGCGATTGTAAGGCCCCCATGATGGGATCAGTGCCCTTACAGGAAGAGACACCAGACCCCCCTCTCTCTCTGCACCTTGTGAGGACACAGCAAGAAGTGTTCTACCCGCGAACCAGGAAGCAGGTCCTCACCGGGTACCGAATCTGCCAACACCTTGATCTCAGACTTCCAGCTTCCAGAACTGTGAGACAGAAACGTGTGTTGCCTAAGCCATTTGTTTTAACAGCCCAAACTGACTAAGACACTCATCAGAGAAAAAGCAGCGCTGGACATGTGTTACAGGCGGCAAGACTGATTCCTTCAGACTCCTGCAGCAGCGGAAAGAGATTCCAGTACCGACCAAGCTCAACCCCAACTCAGAAAACGGTGACTGAGGTCTTCAAAGAGAGAACAGAAAGGGAACAAAAAGGGACTGAAGGAGAAATGAAAACAGAACGTGGGGGCCACGTGGAAATGGAAAGTTCCAGAACGGTGAGGGGAGAACTACTGAAAATGGTTTAGCGGGGTGGGCTGGACGAGGTGCATTTTGTGATTTGGCTGCATTGCAAAGTCTTGAGCCAAGACTCAGCCAGGGCTGGGGTCGCCTCTGGGGATGCAGCTTAGTGCAGGTGGAAGCCAGGCTACAGTTTGGTGAAGCCTCTCAGCACAGTGCTGGGGCGAGTCCTCTACACTCTGTGGAATTCCCAGTTCACTGGAGGCTCGCTAGCAGGGCAAGTGTGGCCCGAAGGTGCACTGTCCATGTCAGGCAGGCATGCAGGGAAGCCGGGGAGCTGACACCCTGCTGGGGGCAGGGGAGTGGGTGGCCTGGGGTGCCTTGGGTCCCATCAGCAGGGTCATGGGAAACAGCCTCCAGGCTGCACAGTGGTGGACAGCAGTGCTGGCTCCCCCTGTACCTGCCCACCAGCCTTGGCCCTCCTAGGCCCCGAAGGGTCGTTTCCTGCTGTCCAGTGACTGTAGACCAGCCCTGGCCCAGGAAACCCTATAAACTTCTCCTCCAACTATTTCTCCTGGAGAAGACAAGAGTGCCAATGGATTACTACAGTGCAGGGCAATTGAGCAAAGATGGGGATGAACTGGGGTCCCATGGGAGCAGGGAGGAGGGGCCAGGGAACCCTGGCCAGAAATAGGAAAGCAGTAATGGAAGGGACGACTCAGGAGAGGGAGTGCCCATCTCAGAGCCTTTCAGGAACCTGGCATTTAATAAATGCCTCCTCCAGAGGGAAGGATTCAGGCAGATCACTTCTAGAAGGGGTCACCGCCTCTCCAGGTTCTGCATGGTCCACAGCATATGTACAGTCCCCAGAAGCTAGACTCCTTCCAGGCCTGGTGTGGAGGGAACCTAAGTGTGTGATGGAGGAGAGTCTTCCACGGGCTATGAACTCTTTGTAAAAAACAAAACAAAACAAAACAAAAAAACAGCATGCATGCGATGCTGGGGGCTTAGGACAATATCTTAAAACAGAACTGAAACATTGGTGGATAAACCTCAGGACAGGCAGGAAAAGAGCCGTAGCTCATCCACCATCAGCATTAGCAATGTAATCAGACACAACGGAAAATCAATGAAGTAAAACCAACCAGCAGGATTATGTTGTTGAGCCTCCAATAAATGTCTTAAGTGTCCAATAGAGCCATATCGTTTTGATGACATGAATTTCTGTGTTGCTTTTCTGATTGCTCAAAATCCTGAAATTCTTTGGAGAGTATTATCAATGTCATTATCTTTGCCAGGAAGATGCTGAGCTGTCTTCCCTGAAGCAGTGTTCTCCCTGGGTTGTTTGAACCCCTGACTGTCACGTGCCTTCTGTCCTAAGCTGCCACCAAGGCCCAGACAAGCCCTGCCATGCATGTGTCTCTTTATTAATACATAGTACAGCAGGGAGCTGCCCCCTCTCCCAGCCAGGCAGGGCCGCTTATCCCACACCCCCTGCCTTGCAAGCACACTTAGTGTGGAGTATATTAGGAAGTTTAATTAGCAGAAAATAAATAAAGTAGGGATCCCAGCTTGAGCCCAGGCTGTCCCCTGCTGGGGTGGGACATGTCTGAACAGTGTTGATGAGAGTTTTATGAAAGACGCATCTCCTAGAGGAAAGGACATGGAGAGAAGTAAGTTTGATTCCCTCTCGGAGGAGCCTGAGTGCCCAGAAGTCCAAGCAAGAATCTTGAGCTGTATCTGGGAGTGGGGGTGCTTAGATCACGAGCATACTCCTGAACCCTGGCAATGGGGCAGAGCATGGAATGTGCTGACTGGCTTAAGCTTGGAGCAGGACTTGATGTGGCTTCCTCCAAAGGAACCTGAGTTCTGTGGGAGATGGATGAACATCTGAACAACTCAGGGCACTGCTGGGGATATGGAAGCTGGCAGGCAGCCCTTACCATTTGAGGTGCGATAGGGAGAGAGGATAACCAACGTTTAACAAACTCTATCAAATACTGGGTGCGTTGACACGTGCCAGCCCCAGGATGCTCTTAGAAACTCTATGAGGGGAGTGTAATTAGAGCACTGAGGCTCAGAGAGGTTAAGAAACTTGTATATTGTCACACAGCTAGCAAGAGTTTCAGGAAGCTAGATCTAACAGATTCCAAGGCCCATGTAATGTTTCCATCAGGTATTTGTCCAAAAAACACTTTTCCTTCAAGGTAAGGAGTGGGAAGGCTACTCGTATGGGGGCATGGTGTCCCAGCAGCCCACAGCTCAGTGCCAGACTGTGAGTGAGAAGACGAATGTGTGTCCCATCTCTGCCACTTCTGTCTGTGTGGCCTCAAGACCCTCACCTAGAAGGATGGCTGAAGTATCACTCCAGGCCTGGTGTCCTGACTTCTTGAACAACTGTCTAGGGTGTGCAAGCCAGCACATCCCCTTTTCTGCTCCCTAGTTAGATGGATTTAGCTAGGCTATTGCTTTGTGAGAATAGAGGGACCCAAGAGCCTCATTCTCCATCTATATAACTCAAAGACTTTGTATAAGTCAGGGTGAGCTGGTTTTGTCATGAGAAACAACCACCCCAAACTCTCAGTGGCTGCAGACAGCTGGCTTTCTTTCTTTCCCCCGCCACATGCGTGCAGCAGGTCTGCTGGTGGCTGTGCTCTGAGACTCAGGTTGCTCCTGCAGACCCTCTGGAAACATGGCCATTCTCAGCTCTGGAGGGACGAGTCCCTGAGTATCTCACCTGGACAATTAAATGCTCCAGCCTGGAAGAGACACGAGTCACGTCCATCCACCATTCATTGGCTAGAATAAGCCCATGGCTCCTCTCAACCGTGGGGGCAGGGAAGTCTCATCCCACCGGGGCCTGGAAGGCTGAGAACCAAAAGTTGGGCGAACAGTACTCATGGCTATCATAGAGTGGAACCAGTTCCAAGACTCTCAAACCATTTTTTGAGAGCAAGGGGAAGCCTAATCTCATTCTCTATTTTCTATCATCTTTTTTACTTATATAAACCCAAACCTCTCTTTATTAAAACATCTCTCTATATATATGTCTATTTTAAAAAGTCTCTCTCTATATGTCTTTGTGAGAAAAAAAAATGTGTTACGTTCCTTTCAAAACCAACCCTGAGGCTCTGGAAGCACTAATGTTCTCCACCCACAGTTCCCCACCGGCCCCTGATCAGACCTGGTTCTAGGACAGGGGTTCTCACCTTGGCTTCCCTGTAGAATCACCTGGAAGCTTGTAAAAATCCCATGGATGCCAGGTCTCACCCCAGGCCAATTCTGTCAGAACCTCTGAGCTGGTGCCAGGCAGAAGCAATTGGGTGAAACTCCCAGGAGATGCCTGGATGGGTCCAGGTTGAGTCTGCTGTTCCGGGTGAGCCCTGAAGCAGCTTCCAGCTCCGGGGCTGCCTCTTTCTTTCCCAGGTGAGGTTCCAGGAGAAGCCAGAGATGGGGGTTTGCCTTAACAAACCAGGAGCTGAGGAAGGTCGAAGAGAATTCGGTGATTATCCCGACTCATGATTCCAGCTCCTTCCCAGTGGTGGGAGCTGGGAATGCCGTGGGAAGCAGGCGTGGGAGGGGTGCCCGGGGGGATGGGTGCCCGGGGGAGGGGTGTCCGGGGGGAGGGGTGCCCAGGGAGACAGGTGCCCGGGTGTGCTGTCACTCAGTTCCAGGCCTGAGCTCAGCTGCTGAGAAAACAGGAAGTGCATCAGGAACTGAGTGTGCTCAAGTCCTGGGTATTCACAATTCACAAGGACACGTGCACACATTCACACACACATTTGCACATCCCCATAAGCATACACACACACACACATACTCAGCTGGGCGTGATGGCTCACACCTCTCATCCCAGAACTTTGGGAGGCCGAGGCAGGTGGATCACCTGAGGTCAGGAGTTTGAGACCAGCCTGGCCAACATAGTGAAACCCCATCTCTATAAAAAAAAAAAAATACAAAAATTAGCCAGCTGTAGTAGCGGGTACCTATAATCCCAGCTACTCAGGAGGCTGAGGCAGGAGAAGTGCTTGAACCTGGGAGGCAGAGGTTGCAGTGAGCCAAGATAGAGCGACTGTGCTCCAGCTTGGGTGACAGAGTGAGACTCTATCTCAAAAAGAAAGGAAGGAAGGAAGGCAATCATTGAGACAATCAGTATTGCCAGGGAAGAAGGCTTTAATTGGGTGCTGCTGCCCAGGAGATGGAGCTCAGTCTCAAATCCATCTTCTGGACCCACTAAAATTAGGGGTTTATATAGCAGGGAAGAAATGTAACAGGAACTCGGGAGGGGTAAGGAAGCAGTCATGATGAATGGAGGGCCTGACGTCTCATTGTCTAGACAAGATGATCTGGTGAGTTTCAGTTCTCTGATACTTTTGGAGAGGACTTGGGCTCCTTTCCTGAGGAAGCAACTCAGATAAAACAAATTTAATTTTCAAGCTTTAAGACCAGAAGGGTCAATTTCTGTATTCATCAAAAACAAACAAACAAACAAAACAACAACAACAACAACTAACTGTCTATGGGACTATTGGTTCGGTTTCATTCTTTTTTTTCAGATTTTCTTCTCCATGAAAAAAATGTTTTTAAAAGAATCTCTTCCACAGAAAAAAAAAGCAACTGGGGATCTTCTCTTGTTTGGCGAGGAGATAAGGGGCTGTGGCCCTCTCCTCCTGAGCAGCTTGTCTGGCAAATGGGCAGATGATGTTGGCCTCAATTCCAAGGATGGCAACAAGAATGAACTAAGACATGACATGTAAAGGGGTCAGGGCTACTCCCCACACTAAGTGCTCCAAAATATTATTACTTACCCCAGGTGCTGAACAGAGTAGGGGCTTTGTGACCTCATGTGGCCGACTCATTTCACTGGAAGCATTATTCTGAAAACAAGTTTGGAGACGATGGGAAAGTCTGACACACACATGCTCATACACAGACGGTGGCAGCATCGTCTGCCGAGATGCACAGCAGACATAATTTGGCTGGTTCCCTGTGGGCTTGCTCTCTGTGGGTTTGTTGTTGTAGATTTGTTGTTGTGGGTTTGTTGATGTGGGTTTGTTGTCTGTGGGTTTGTTCTCTGCGGGTTTGTTTTCTGTGGGTTTGTTTTCTGTGGGTTTGTTGTCTGTGGGTTTGTTGTCTGTGGGTTTGTTCTCTGTGGGTTTGTTGTCTGCGGGTTTGTTTTCTGCGGATTTGTTGTCTGTGGGTTTGTTGTCTGTGGGTTTGTTCTCTTTGGGTTTGTTGTCTGCGGGTTTGTTCTCTGTGGGTTTGTAGTCTGTGGGTTTGTTCTCTGTGAGTTTGTTCTCTGTGGGTTTGTTGTCTGTGGGTTTGTTGTCTGTGGGTTTGTTCTCTGTGGGTTTGTTCTCTGTGGGTTTGTTGTCTGTGAGTTTGTTGTCTCTGGGTCTGTTCTCTGCGGGTTTGTTTTCTGTGGGTTTGTTGTCTGTGGGTTTGTTTTCTGTGGGTTTGTTTTCTGCGGGCTTGTTGTCTGTGGGCTTGTTGTCTGTGGGTTTGTTGTCTGTGGGTTTGTTCTCTGTGGGTTTGTTCTCTGTGGGTTTGTTGTCTGTGGGTTAGTTGCCTCTGGGTTTGTTGTCTGTGGGTTTGTTCTCTGTGTTTCCTTTCCGCCCTGCTTTTCACAGGAGAATGCCAGGCCCTCTGTGGTTTGTTGCCTGGGAGGAGATTCAAGATGCCAGGCCAAAAACCTGAGGGCTGACCCTTTCCCTGTGTATGGTGGGGAGGTTGTGGTACCTGTCCCAGAGAGGGATGGGACAGGGGACCGTGACACTGAAGGGAGAGAAGAAGGGGCAGAGTTGTCTACAAGCCTAGGGTTGAACAGAGGCTCTTGAGGCAGGGAACTGAGGCTCATGGCTCTTGTTCTCAAGAAGATGACTGGGCCACCTGGGAGAGTGACTTTGGGTTTACCTAAATGGGCTGGATCCTGGCTTTGAAATTCTCAGCCTCAGCAAAGATGCCAGTGCCCACATGATGGGACCACAGGGGCTTGGGTCTGAGCACCTAGACCCAAGCATCGGCTAAGGGTGACCTCAAGGCCCTGCCTGTGCACTGGCCTTGGGAAGTGGGGTGGGGTAAGAACCTCCAACCATGCCCAAGTCCCATATGACTTGATTTAAATAAATAAATGTGATGTTTCCCACAAAACTGAATTTGTGGATAAGATTCATACCAGCCACATGTATACACACATCTATTTATAGGAGCAACTGCTTTGGGTTTTTATTTGTTTTTTGTTTGTTTGTTTTTGGTGATTTGGTGTTTTTTGTTGTTTTGGTTTTTTGTTGTTGTTGTTGTTGTTTGTTTGTTTTTTTGTACTACCAGTTTCTAAATATTCCTTCTTCTTTGATGAAGAAAGTGATCTATGGCGGGTGGAAGATGGCCCAACAGCCCGGCAGCAACACTCACGTATTGAGTTTAGGGACCCACCCGTGTCCTGAGAGTTCAAGTTAAGACTTTGTCTTGCAACTGAACAATCTTTATCTCCCAATTATATGAAATCAATTTAAATGAATTAAACAAATTACAATGTCCCACTTGAGAATATCAGTTACCTGGGCAGTGGAGAAGAATTAGAAGTAAAGAAGTGCCTTCTAGGAAAGCAGATAGTAGTGACTCGGGGTGGAGGGAGAAGCTCCCATGGGAAAAGTGTGGAGGGCTCCCGACCTGGGAGGTCCCTGCAAAGGTGTCTGCCTGAGCAGTCCTACAGAGACCTGTCCACACTGCCTCCTAGTGGTCGCTCCATCACCTTCCAAACACTCCAAAGTTGGGGAGGTGGCCCCAGGAAGCCCACTTCTCTCTCCCAGGCAGTTGGCAGCCTCTGCTGGAGTGGGCAGCGGGGAGGGGAAGTCCCGGGAGGCTGGAGACTCCTGAGGAAGGGAGGACAAGGAGCCTCAGGTGGAGGGAGGGGAGTCCTAGGAGCTGGCTGCTTGGCTTGGCAGAGGCTGCAGAGGACGTGAGAGAGTATGTTAACAAGCACAGGAAGGTTCTCTGAGTTTCTCTGGCCATCCATGGTGCAATGGTTTGCGTGAGTCCAGGCCCCCATTTATCGGGGCAAACTACTTCTGGCTCCTTGTGCAAAAGCAGTTCCTGGCCAGACGCTGGCTTGGCCTGTCCCGGGGTGGTGGGTGGGGGGCACAGATGAGTCTCTGCGGAGACCTCTCTGTTGGTGCCTCTTAGGCTCTGGGACCACACCCCCAGTCCATGTGTCCCACATTGTGCCCCTAAGCTGAGGCCTGGCAGGTGCTGCTGTCAGAACCAGCCTGAGTATGGGCTCCAAGTGAACCCCAGTCAAAAGCTCCAGGATCCCATGAGTCCTCCTTTGGCTGGTTTTCTCCACACCCAGCCCCCATCACCAGTGCCACCCCCCACTTCATGCTGCCTCTAAAATGATCTTCAAGGACGTCTGAATTGTGCATTTTATATCAAGTTCTTCTTGTCATTGTTTTCATAATATATTGCCAGATTTACTCATAATTAAAGAAGTTAAAACAATGAAATGATCTTTTTGTCTATCAGATTGATAAAGGTTAAAAATCACTGGCTGGGCGCAGTGGCTCGCGCCTGTAATCCCAGCACTTTGGAAGGCTGAGGCAGGCAGATCACCTGAAGTCAGGAGCTCGAGACCAGCCTGGCCAACATGGCGAAACCCTGTCTCTTCTAAAAATACAAAAATTAGCCAGGTGTGGTGGCACGTGCCTGTAGTCCCAGCTACTTGGGAGTCTAAAGCAGAAGAATCGCTTGAACCCAGGAGGTGGAGGTTGCAGTGAGCTGAGAACACACCACTGCACTCCAGCCTGAGTGATAGTGAAATTCCACCTCAAAAAAAAAAAAAATTAATATCAAATGGCAGCTGAGAAATGGACATGAGTTTCAAAATAATAATACCAGCATCATTATTAACAATAAAACTACCGAGTACCATTTAAGATTTCATGTGTTTTTCTTTGTCCTTAGCTTATACTCTACTGGAGAATATATGATCAAAATACTGTGTTGTAGGGTCATTTGAAAGAAATTCAACTCTGTGTGATTTTGGAACTGACATGATAAGCAGCTAGGTTCATCAGTTACTGTTTGTATTGTTTAGAGATCATTTTGTTTTATTTTTATTTTTGATTTGCCTTTGTTTTTGTTTGTATATAAATTTAAGGGGTACAAGTGCAGGTGTGCAGTTTTGTCAAATGGATTGATTGCTCAGTGGTGATGTCTGGGCTTTGAGTGTAGTAGTGTACATCGTACTCATTAAATAATTTCTCATCCCTCACCCTAATCCTATCCTCTTTTTTTTTCTTTTTTTAGACGGAGTCTTGCTCTGTTGTCCAGGCTGGAGTGCAGTGGTGCAATCTCGGCTCATGATTCTCGTGCCTCAGCCTCCCAAGTAGCTGGGATTACAGGCACGCACCACTATGCCCAGTTAATTTTTTTGTATTTTCAGTTGAGATGGGGTTTCACTATGTTGGCCAGGCTGGTCTTGAACTCCTGACCTCAAGTGATCCACCCACTTTGGCCTCCCAAAGTGCTGAGATTACAGGTGTCAGCCACCATGTCTGGCTAATTTGTTTGCATTTTAGTAGAGAAGCAGTTTCACCATGTTGGCCAGGCTTGTCTCAAACTCCTGGCCTCAAATGGTCCTCCCATCTCAGCCTCCCTTTCGAAGTCCATTATTTTACATTCTGTACCCATGTGTACACATTATTTAGCTCCCACTTAAAGGTGAGAACATGTGGCATCTGACTTTCTGTTTCTGAATTATTTCACTTAGAATAATGGCCTCCAGTTCTGTCCATGTTGCTGCAAGAGACGTGATTTCATTCTTTTTTATGGCTGAGTAATATTTTTTAATGTAAAAATGTTGACATTTTCCAAAATGAAAACTGTAAAACAAGATACATTTGGAGAAGTCTAGAGTGTTTGCTTTATTCATGTTGTTTATGCGTTAAAATATAAGCATATTGCATACATAAGCATATTTACACCCACATCTAAAAGATAACATATTATATATACTTTTCCATACTTCTGAACAAGCGTCTCATATCCATAACTAAAAATTAGATGAGAAAGGCAAAGAACTCTTGTCTTCGAATTGACTTCATTGCACTATATAGCATTTCACACTGCGGTTCCAGGCCACAGGGTCCCTTGGGTAGGGGGAGACAAAGGGTGTGGCTGACAGGGAGACTCTAGGACTACCATTGCCACTTCCACCAGAGCAGCCACACTTCTGTTCCACATAGTTGGCATCCAAATTTGATTTGAAAAACAGTTTCCACTACTAAAAGAAAAATCCTATGAGAAAATGACCACAAGCCAATTATCCACTCAAACCTGCTGATCCTGGCCTCTGGGAGAGGCTGTTTGGAGACCACATATTTCATATTAACTTTACCATGATGAGATTATCTTACTGTCTGGGGTCATCCAAACTTGAGCTCCAAGAAAACCCCTGTGTGAGGGAAAAAAAAAAAAAATCCTCCTCCATTCAACAGTAGAGCAAAGGACCTGACCAATCATTTTGTCCACGTCTTCATTTGAAGGAATCCTTCATGCCCATTTTATGAAATGTCTTTAGCTCTGATTAAAGAGGCAAGAAAATACAAAGGAAGAGATGGTTAGAGTTTGAAGCAAACTGTCATTTTGCCTGAGTATATAAAATTAAAAGTGCTTTCAAGATGAGGTATTGAATTAGTTCAATAACTGCAAGCTCCGGGTGGGCGCAGTGGCTCACATCTGTAATCCCAGCACTTTGGGAGGCCGAGGCGGGCGGATCACAAGGTCAGGAGATCGAGACCATCCTGACTAACACGGTGAAACCCCATCTCTACTAAAAATACAAATAATTAGCCGGCCATGGTGGAAGGTGCCTGTAGTCCCAGCTACTCGGGAGGCTGAGGCAGGAGAATCACTTGAACCCGGGAGGCGGAAGTTGCAGTGAGCCGAGATCGTGCCACTGCACTCCAGCCTGGGCAACAGAGAGAGACTCCCTCTCAGAAAAAAAAAAAAAAAAAAAAAAAAAAAAAGACCTGCAAGCGCCAGTGGAAGCTAGGTGTGCAGACTGACTTTCTTTTGCAATTTGCCATACCTTCCTTCTGCCACCTGGAAAAAATCACTCTTAGTTGTGCAAATGGGAAGGCAACTGGCACAAATTCTATGCATACACAGACACACAACACGTAAGTCCAGGACTCCCTGGGTGTGTCATGACTATACCCCTGGTGCCTGGCACAATGCCTGGTGTACAGCAGGTGATCAGTACATATTTTTGAAATGGATGAATGAATGTAAACATTTCTCCCCATCTTAAGCCAAATGGGTAGGCTCATTACTATTAAAAGATTGCCAACCTCTGTCTCAGACCTATTGCAGAAGTGATGTCAAAGTAGCATTTTTATGGGTAGCATCTGCAATTCCCATATTTTATGGGTCAGCAGGGAGTTGTTCTGAGTATTTATTCCATGATGCTTGAAATCTGAAGTGTATGTGTGGGACTGGCACCACTGTAAGAAAGCCCTTTATGAGGTCATCATCCCCCACTTGCCATCTCTCCCCAGATGCAGATGTGCAAGCTTTTAAAAACACTTGAGAAGCCACCATGCCTCGCTTTGCAAGCCCTCTTTTAAGAAATGTCATTATCAGAAGTCAATTTGATGGCATCAAGAGGAAGCAATGCCTCCAATATCTGAAAACCCTGAGAACACTGCAATATGATGGATTTAAGACCGTATATTTTGGGGAAACCAATATCCCAGAAAGTCTCGTAACTGGGGAAGATATTAGTGATGGATATTTCATACAAACCCCAACTTGGTGTATTGTGCATGCTGCGGGTAGTCAAGGATGGGTGCCTTGGAAATATCGGGTGTTCCTAAGAGACGAGCTGTGTATCAAACAAGAAGACAGCCTCTTCTCTGAGTTCTGTGATGTGGTGAGGAAGGCCTATGGAAAGTGTGTCATCGTGGTCAAAGAGAGAAGGCAGCAGGAAGAGCAGAGGCCAAAGGAAGACAGAGAGGCTGAGGGCCAGTTCTATATCCCTACAGTCATTAGCTTAGCAAGCATTATGTGTTGCCCAGAGGTGGCCAAGTCCTGTGGCCATGAACTACTCTCTCTGCCTTCCCCTTGTAATTATCTGAACCCTTTAGACTCAGCCTGGTCTTCTCTGAAATGGTTTATCATCAATAACAGAAACGAGTTTTGTTTGCAGTCCATTGACAGTGGCTATTCTTACCAATGTATACTTTTCAGCAATTTAATTAGCAAAGGAATTGAAAGGATAAACGCAAGCAAGTGGAGAACATTAACTAGCAAAGTACGGAGATGGGAAAACTACTATCTTGGGAAATTTTCTTAAGGGTGGTTCCTCCAACAAGCAGTGAGGCTGCTACATGTCTGGTCTTTACCGTCAACTCTGTTGAGATGAATTCCACACCACTGCAGCCAAAGATACTTCAACAGCGACCTCACATGGGGTGCTGCGAGAACTGGGTTGCTCCTAAGGATGTTGGCAAAGCGCTTTGAGTTTACTAGAAGTTTCATTAAAATTTGTTGGTAAGTTAGGGGTCTCGACTCTTATCTTGTGAAGGCTACTTTGAGGGCTTTGTCAAGGGGAGGATTAGGTCTAACCCAGCCCAAAGGTGGATGGCAATAAGCAGGGGTGAGCAGGCTGAAAGTTGAGTGGTCGAAATTTAGGTCTGAGAAAAAAAGAGAACCAGTGTGCAGTCATCCCCCAAAAAGCCCAAATTAAATAGTGTGCCAAGTTTCCACCCACCAAAGTAATCCACAGGGATCCAGCTTGCCATGGGCGAGATATTGTCCAGATGGTCGCCAAGCAAGACTCCCTCCTCCCGATTGTCCTTCCTTCCTTGTCGGCAAAGTGGTGGAGGATGAGTGAGAGGCAGCCGCAGAGGGGAAACTCCATCCGGACCCTCCAAGGGGAGTAGGTGGTCCCAGTTAGGACCTGGAAAGTTATGACAGTGGTGGGTTCAAGTGGGCTATGGTGGGCAAAGGGGTGGCACGCATGGGGGTCTGCAGAGACCACTTATCCAGCCAATCTCCCCGCCAACTCCAGGAATTCCAGCAGGTCATTAGACTGTGCCGTGGAGTTTCATCTCGAGACCCTGTAGCTGAGCCACTTGCAGCTGGGACAACACCTCCCTATTTAGGTTTGGGGCTGCTGCCGATGTCTGTTGTAAGAATCTGTGGTTGTCTTTTTCATTTTTATAGAAAAAGACTACCCCTATTAAACATATCATAAAATTCACTGTTGGTTATGTACATTCAGACAGTCATTTCAGAGGTAATCATTCCGAGGAGTGCAAAAAGAATAATTTATGGCTGGGCACAATGGCTCACACCTGTAATCCCAGCACTTTGGGAGGCCGAGGCAGGAGGACTGCTTGAGGTCACGAGTTCAAGACCAGCCTGGGAAACACAGCAAGACCTCATCTCTACAAAAATATTTAAAAATAGCTGGGCTGAGTGGCATACATCTATAGTCCTAGCTACTTGGGAGGCTGAGGGAGGAGGATCACTTGAGCCAGAAGTTTGAGACTACAGTGAGCTATGGTTGTCCACTACACTCCAGCCTGGGTGACAAAGTGAAACCCTGCCTGTAAAAGAAAAAAAAAATTTTGTACACTTACATGGGATGTTGGTAGCGGTGGTGGGTGGTGGGGCACCCACTCAATTCACTCAATTCTGCATGAATCTAAAAAATGGCTCTAAAAAATAAGGTCTATGAAAAAAAACAATTTATGAACATTTCTGGACTGGGCACAGTGGCTTATGCCTGTACGAGCAATTTGGAAGGCCAAGGTGAAAGGATTGCTTGAGCTCAGAAGTTCGAGGCCAGCAACATGGTGAAACCTCGTCTCTACAAAAAATACCAAAATTCGCTGGGCATGGTGGCGCACACCTATGTTCCCAGCTGCTAGGGAGGCTGAGGTGGGAGAATCACTTGAGCCCTGGGAGGCGGAGGTTGTATTGAGCAGAGATTGTATCACTGCGCTCCAACCTGGGTAACAGAGTCAGACTCTGTCTCAAAAAGAAAAGAAAAGGAGAAAGAAAGAATTTCTACCCAGAATTTCCTGACAGCCACGTGCAGAAAGCATCCCATCGTTTGCTTGCCTTCTTTCCCTCCCGAACCTCCCTGTATTATTCAGAAAGACTTTGTCAGATGAAAGCGAACGTTCAGTGCTTTTCAGCAACTAAGTGTCCACCACTTCTCAGCATTTTGTCATGGTTACAAAGGGAATCCTGGTAACATTTTTCCTGGAGATTAATCACACCTCAAACAGCTGACCACTCAGAACTATAAAGTTTCCACTGTTGCAGGCCTCACTTGACAGTCAACAGTGCTATATTAATTTGTTGTGGCTGTTGAAACAAATTACCACAGGCTTGGTGGCTTAAAACAACAGAAATTAAGCCAGATGTAGTGGCTGTGGTTGCAGCTACTCGGGAGGCTGAGGCAGGAGGACCGCTTGAGCCTAGGAGCTTGAGGCTACAGTGAGCTCTGATCGCACCACTGCATGCCAGCCTGGGTGATAGAGTGAGACCCTGTCTCAAAAAGAAAGAGAGAGAAGGGAGAAAGGAGGGGGGCTAAGGAGGAGAGGGAGGGGAGAGAGAGAGAGAAAGAAAGAAGAAAGAAAGAGAGAAGGAAGGAAGGGAGGGAGGGAAGGGAGGGAGGAAGGAAAGAGGGGAGGGAGGAGAGGGGAGAGGGAGGGGGAGGGGGCAGGGGAGAGGGAGGGGGCGGGGGGAAGGGGGCAGGGGAGGGAAAGGGAAGGGAAAGAGGAAGGGGGACGGGAAGGGAAAGAGGCCAGGCACGGTGGCTCAGTGGCTCATGCCTGTAATCCCAGCACTTTGGGAGCCTGAGGTCGGAGGAGCACTTGAGGTCAGGAGTTGGAGACCAGCCTGGCCAACATGGTGAAACTCCATCTCTACTAAAAATACAAAAATTTGCTGGGCATGGTGGTGGGCGCCTGTAATTCCACCTCTTGGGTGGCTGAGGAAGGAGAATCACTTGAACCTGGGAGGCAGAGGTTGTAGTGAACCGAGATCACACCATCACATTCCTGCCCGGGCAACAGAGCAAGACTCCATCTCCAAAAAAACAAAAAAAAAGAGAGAGAAAGAAAAGAAAAAGGATAGGACAGGACAGGACAGAGAAGACAGCCAAAGGCAAGCTGTTGGCAGGGCAGCACTCTCTCCAGAGGCTCCAGGGAGGACCTGTTTCTTGCCTCTTCCAGCTTCTGGTGGCCACCGGCATTCCTGGGCTTGTGGCCACACCACTTTCTCATCCTGTGTCAAATCTCCCTCTGCCTCCCTCTTACAAGGACACCTGAGATTGCATTCAGGGCCCACCTGAGTAATCTAAAACCATCTTCACATCTCAAAATCCTTAACTTGGTCACATAGGCAGAACTTTTTCCATCTAAAGCGACATTCATAGGTTCCAGGGAATAGGACCTTGATATCTTTGGTGGCCACTATTCAGCCAGCCACAGGTGCTAAAGGAAGTCTTGCTCTGCCAATAGAAACATTGCATTTCTCATTGGCAATTAACCTGGTGAAATAACTCCTATTGTGTAGTATATTTGTGAGGTCTTTTTCCCTCAGGATTTCATGTACGTTTTAGGATTTAAGTTCCTTGAGAGCAAACCATGGTACTCAAACTTCCTTGGTCACTTCAGTGTGCTGTCATTGTGCAGGCCCACGTGTGGGTGGCCTGAGTTTTGGGAGATGAGTGGGTTTTGCCCTACATCCCGTTTATTCCATGCCTCTGCGGTTCTGGAATAATAGGCACCAACAGCTACACGTGCTGGGCACCGTGGCTCACTCCTGTAATCCCAGAACTTTGGGGGGCCGAGGTGGGCGGATCATTTGAGGTAAGGGGTTCGAGACCAGCCCAACCAACATGGTGAAACCCCATCTCTACTAAAATACGAAAATTAGACAGGTGTGATGGCGGGCACTTGTAATCTCAGCTACTCAGGGGGCTGAGGCAGCAGAATCACTGGAATCCTGGAGGTGGAGGTTGCAGTGAGCCGAGATTGTGCCACTGCACTCCAGCCTGGGTGACAGAGCAAGACTCCCTCTCAAAATAAATAAATAAATAAATAAATAAATAAATAAATGTGGAAAACTGAGGCCCAGAGAGATTCAACCCAGAATTCATGCTTAGAGCCATTCTTCATGATGCCACTAACGCATAGCTATTATAATTTAATTCTCTTAATCCTGTCAGTTGTTTTACAGATGAGGAAACTGAGGCACTGGCAAGGCACTGGGGCCAAGAGATTCTGAAGCCCATGCTCCTCACCACCGTGCTTAGCTTAGTTATTGAAGCTGAGCTTTTCCTTTTTCACCCCCATCATTTCTATGTCGCAAGACTCACCTCTGACCTCAGATGAGACACCAGCCGCTAAAATGGCCAACTCCCCTGGACACCAAAAAATTTTATTTCAACATAAAATTAAAGAGGAGACAGAATATCCTTTAAAGACACATTATTTTACAGCGATAAAAAAGGAATGTTTTTAGGTTATCAGCTAAAGATAAACCAACAGGAGCTATTTTTGTTTGAAAACTAAAGCAATTTAATAAAACAGATTTAGAGTTCTATTCCTTTGAGGCCTTGTAAAAATTATTAGAAAAGAGGAAAGAAGGATCAAAAGGAATACCCTTTAATGTGCAATTTGGTTACATAAGATTGTATTCATAATTAAGAAATGTTGCTTTATACTAAACCTGAAAACTTCCCATAGAAAGTAACAGAAAGTTCACCGGGCTTTTGGAATTGGATGGACCTAGTTGGAATCTTGAGTTTCTAGCTTCGTAGCTATATGTTCTGGATAAGTTGCTTTACTTCCTTGAGGCTCAATCAACTCCTTAATAAAATACAGTGGGACTTTAAAATCACATAACCTGGCCAGGAGCAGTGGCTCATGCCTGTAATCCCAACACTTTAGGAGGCCAAGGTGGGCGGATCATTTGAGGTTGGGAGTTCGAGACCAGCCTGGCCAACATGGCAAAAACCCATCTCTACTAAAAATACAAAAATTAGCCTGGCATGGTGGCACATGCCTGTAATCCCAGCTACTCAGGAGGCTGAGGCAGAAGAATCGCTTGAACCTGGGAGGCGGAGGTTGCAGTGAGCCGAGATCATGCCACTGCACTCCAGACTGGGTGACAGGGCAAGACTCCATCTCAAAAAAAAAAAAAAAATCACATAACCTGCGCCAAGCCACTGCATTGTGTCTGGCACCCACTGAGTGAGTGGTCCATGGTAAGGTCGAAGCAAACATGTCCACAATTAGACCTGCCATCACTGATCTCATTTCCTTTTCACTCTTTGAGAAAAATTTTTGTTCCTTTTTATCGCTGGCATCTAATGAGGGTGGACACATCTTAAGATACTTTGATCAGAGGAAACTTTGTTCTCTGGCATTTCCTTTAAGACCATCTGCAATATCTGCAATCGGTTAGGGAATTAATAATAAGAAGAGGTTTCTTCTGGTGGGGGTGGGACAGGATGGCTGGTGAGGACAGCCCACAGTCTCTTTGGGAGCAGCCATATTTAGAGCACTGTATTTAGTTAAGAGCGGGTGACCACACGCAGCAACGCAGGGCTGAGCCACATATCTCTAGACATGTCCACTAGAAGTGAGCTCCTGATGTTGGTGGCACTATTCTCCTTCTGAGTGGTTGGCTGATGGAACATCCCAGCCTCTCTGGCCTTCCCCATCACTAATACCCACAGCCCCTCTCCCTCCCACGGATCAAGGTGGCTTTCAAGGTGGGGGTGCATTAGGAAATGGTGCTGCCCCTACAAGGACCTAAGAGGTAAATTAGCAAATGGGGTTCGTTGGCCATTGGCTCAATCCAATTGGGTTGGATGGAGCCCCTGCCTGGCCAACTGGTGGCTGAGTTGCCCACCGAGGTAGTATACACTCCTTCCATTTGTGATTGTCCTGCCACATGCAAACCATCTTTACATGCTTGACCTCATTCAGTTCAGACAAACACTGTACAGTAGGGAGGGCAGTGATCATTGAGCTCATTTTACAAAGGCCAGGCTAGGGTGGTGACCGACTCACCTAGCCACGTACGTAACAGTAGTAACAGGAGGGTCAGGACCAGAATCCAAGTCTTCATATCAGGAAGCCCTTGCGCCCATCTCTAACTGGCTCCATGTGTCAGCTAAAACAGGTGAACTATGAATAGACCACAGAGATGCCAACAAAATAGAAGCTACCCCACCACCACCACCAAAAATAAGAAGTGTCAAGGTGTCAGTTCAGGGGTGAAATGATGGATCCATGGTCACTGAGAGCCCAAGATCCTATCTTTTTACTCCATTGTCCTAGATTTGGTTCAGGTCTCAAACTCACCTCTTAGTCCAAAGTGGCTGCGGAACAAGCGATTGCATTAGTATTCCAGGCAGCCAAAAAGGAGAAAGGGAGGAAGAGGGGCCCATCCTGTCCCTTTTAAAGATCCTTCCAGGAAGTCCCACACTACACTTCCACTTAAACCTGATTGGCCAGGCTTGGTTGCGAGAGAAGGTGGGAAATGTAGTCCTTTATTTTGAGTGACCATACGGCCAGGTAAAAGTCAGGGTTCTATTACTAGGGAGAAGGGGAGAAGGAACACTGAGGAAGGCAGCTAATGGTCTTGGCCATACTCCCTGCTCCCTTTCCTCTGGTGCTACCAGTCATTCACTCATCAAATACTGGAGCACCTTCTGTGTGCCTGGCTGGGTGCGTCAGGGCCAGGAGTACCAAGGAAAACAAGCCTGGACCCTCAAGGTCCAGGTCTGGTGTGGAGGTGGGGGCCACCTCCCACTCAGTGAGATGTTGGAGGTTTGCGTAGTGAGAGCTGAGTCCAGGGCCTGGCGCTGAAGAGCTGTGGGCAGGGTTGCAGGAAGAGGTGAAACTGAAGTGGAGGACAGAAAGAAGAATGGGGATTTCACCACAGAGAGAAAAGGAGGAAAAGAGGAAGGCCCACCCAGGCAGAAGCGCAAGTGGACCAAGCCTACCGCTGACCCAGCATTAAACAAAAATTATGGGAGGCTATTGTTTTGGACTGAGATCCTGCACTAGGCCCCAACAGACCAGATCAAACCAAACCAAAATGGAGTCAGTCATGCTAAGAGCCATATAATCAACCCAAAACTTTAATAAGGAAGCAGGTAGGTCCCCAAACAGATTAGTTTTTCCTGAAAACAGGAGCTTCTGGTCTACCTGAGTCAGCGTGATTAGGAGGTCCTGAAGTAACCTGATGTTAACCCATCAGCTTCTTTTCTATTGTTCTGTTTCCTTGTCCCCACCTTACAAAGCCCACTGTTCTGCAATTGTCCGGTGGGAGCTCTTGCTCTGTTTTATAGAAGGGAGGCTGCCCCATTCATGAATCAAGAATAAAAGACAATGAGGTCTATGACTAAACGTGTTGCAGTTTTGTCTTTTGACATTGGGCACAGGGTGCGTCTGTGAGTGATGTGTGTGTGTGCGGTGTGTGTGTGTGTGTGTGTGTCCGTGAAAGCCATCTGGGTGGGAAATGCAAGCAGAATGAACAGAAGAATGGAAGTGTAGATAGGAACAGGATGGAAAAAGATACAACAAGCAATGCTGGCCTCTGTCACCATCGTGTCACTGATGCTGACGTCTTGAAGATTTTATGTCCCAGACTTCGAAGTACAAAAACTCGCTTTACTTTACTTGGCTCAGACTCGACCGCACAGCTGTGAAAAGTCCAGTCTCACAGTGAGACCATGAGGGCTGGTTCCTGTCTCTGCCTCCCACCAGCTGGGGGACCTTAGGCAGGGCCTCTCTGCCTCAGTTTCCTTATCTGCGAAAAGGGGATAATGATACCGTTACCCTCTGTGGAGGCAGCTGTGAGCTCTTGGGGAGTAAGGGCTGAAGGATTTGCTGCCTCGCGTGCGCTGTCTCCTGCCCCTCCTCCCACCTTTCCCGATGGCTCCTTCCCAGGTTGGGCTCCTGCTGCCTCTCCCTCTGCCCATCTTCTACAGTGTAGGTCTCAAAAGGAGGGTCAAGAATTGCCTGGGGATGTTCGTATCACAAATTCCTGGTCCTTCTCCTGCAGGTTCTGATGCAGTGGACCTGGAATCCAGCCCAGGAGTCTGCATTTTATTTTTATTTTTATTTTTTAGGTTGGTTTTTTTTTTTTTTTTGACACAGAGTCTCACTCTTTTACCCAGGCTGGAGTGCAGTGGTGCGATGTCTGCTCACTGCAACCTCCACCTCCCGGGTTCAAGCAATTCTCCTGCCTCAGCCTCCCGAGGAGCTGGGATTACAGGCATGCACCACCACGCCCAGCTAATTTTTGGTTTTCTTTTAGTAGAGACAGGGTTTCACCATGTTGGCCAGGCTGGTCTCAAACTCCTGACCTCAGGTGATCCTCCTGTCTCGGCCTCCACTAGGATTACAGGCATGAGCCACTGCACCAGGCCAGAGTGTGCATTTTAAATGGCCTCTCCTGCTTGCTCATGTTTGAGAACTCATCCTCCTTTCTCTTCTCCTTCTAGACTCTCCACCGTCCATCCTCTGGCTTCACTCTGACACAGATGAGATCTGCATGGGGGAGCTCCCTCATGGTGTGATGGTGCGTGTGTTTCCGGCAGTGGGTCAGGAGCTCTCCAACGTCAGGCCTGGGTCCCTGCCATCTCTGCCTGTGGGGCCTGGCACAGAGCAGGGCACTAAGCAAAGCCCCAGGAACATTTGTGTAATCAACTCGGGGTGAGGTGGAGAACTCTAAAGATCCAGGCATCTGGAAGTCTTCGGGAATGAGACATTGACAGCTACGTTTCCCTATAGACAGAATTTGAAGAAAGCTTGGGCAGAGGCAACGCTTTTGAAAGAATCCCAGACTCTTTGTTTGAATTATTTGGTTTCTGAGATTCCTCACGTATGTCTGTGTTATGTATGTGCTTGTTAAACAGACTGTGTGAAACGGCTGAACCTCTTCTTCACGCCTGAGGTCATCACCATGAACATAACATCATCACGTGTGGCATCCCATGTGGGACGCTGTGGCTGCCGCAGTGTCTGGCGCATGAAGAGCACACGGTGAGTTCTCAAGTCTGCTTCTCAAAGACCGTCCCTCTTGCTCAAAGGTATTTCTGCTGCTGACAGCCTTTCTTCCTTTCTGTTTCTAATATGTTGTAAGCTTGAAAACCAAACAAATGTGTTGCGAATGTGTGAATGTGTGTAATAGATCAAGCAGGATGTGCATGAGGGACTCTGGGGCTCTCCGTGGGTGGAGAATGTGGATGTCGGCTTCTGGCCTTCACAACGCATTTCAGGTCCTTTGTGTTTGTTCTCGGTCATGGTCCAGCGGGTTGAGGGATTGCTTTGGTCCAGGTGGGGTCCTGCTAGTGGGCTTTACCAGTCTCTACAACCAGCGGTGCATGCATCCACCCAATAATTTAACATCAAACTACACATCTACCAACTTCATGTACCTAAGGAGTGGAATGATAGCAAGAACTCCGCCTTGAAAACCCCTAACCTCTGAGCCTTCAGAGAGACCGATTTGAATAAGAACGCCATCTCCTGCGCGGCCTGCCTTACTGCAATTAAACTCTTTCTTTATTGAAACAAACAAACAAACAAACAAAAAAACCCAAAACATAAAAAACGAACAAAATCCCTTCAATTAGTGATTAATCATCTCCCCCTAGTGGTAGAAGGGTGCATAGGAAAAGTAACCAAGCAAAAACAAAACTCCCAAATGCTCTTCAGAAAAAACCTACACCCAGCCTGGGCAGTACAGCGTGACCCTTGTCTCTAAACAAAAGATAAATAAATTAGCAGGGCCTAGTCCCAGCTACTCGGGAGGCTGAGGTGGGAAGATCGCTTGAGCCCAGGAGTTCAAGGCTGCAATAAGCTATGATTGTACCATTGCACTCCAACCTGAGGGACACAGCACGTCCTCATCTCTAAAAAAACAAAAGCAAAAACAAAAAACAGAAAAGCCACGGGCACTGTTGGGATGATCAGTGGTTTAGTCCAGTCCTTATGTCACCTTCTACCTAATTTTCCAAGATGGCCAGATCTTCCACAAATTCCAAAGTGTAGCTTTAAATCCCAAAGCCTAGAAAAGCGCTTGTGTTTAGCACATGAGTGTCTACTGGTCAGCAGATCCCCCGCCTTGGACTTATGAGGCACACAGGCGGGTGGGCATGAGGGAGGAAGTGGTGCCAAGGTAGCAGGTCTGATGCCAGGCAAGGCAGGAGCAGGTGATACCCTACACCTGCAGGGTGGGCAGCAGAGAGGCCAGGCCCCTGGGGCAGGAACATGGGCCAGGGTGGGTGGGGTAACCTGCCAGGGTGCAAGGAGGCCCTGACAAAGGGAGGATGGTAGGCCACGGCCCAGGGTCAGTTCTAGGCCCCATCTGAGCATGTCACGAAAGCGTGGGGATGGCAGAAATCCAAGGGCATCCCACCTCTGCTGTGGTCTTCCATTCACGTTCTAACAGGACCCCAGGCCGCAGCAGGATTAGGCAGAATAAAGTCACCAGGGCTCCTGGCAAAGGCTGGAGCGGCCTCCTTCAGAGAGAATGAGGTCTGGGCTTACGTGAAAGTCCACTTTGACTATGGTGAGCACTGCAGCTTGTAGGAGCAGGGTCTGTCTGTCCTCAGAACTTTGTAAATTCTTTCCTGCTTCCTAAATTGTCCTGAAGAGCATCCAGCAAGCACAGTGCAATTTAAGATGGAACTCCCCTGACTCCCCACATGGAAAACGCAATGTTCGACACAAACTGGGCCAGGACGGGGAGACGTTTACTAACACACACTCCTGCAAGTTTCCCATGCAGCCATCAGCAACCAGACCAAACACTCCGCACTGCTTCCAGTGCCAGCTGCTGCCACCTCACTCCCCATCCACTCTGGGGTCTTGCGAGAAGTGGGAGAGCATGAGCTCTTGTCACAGGGATCTGCGTGTGTTAGGTGCTGAGTAAAACATCTTCCCATCCTCCCTGCCCTTGGTTCCAGTGGCTACTAGGGTGCCCTACCCTTCATTTCTCATCAGCAAATCCCAAGGAGCAAACAGGTGAGGAGAGGACAAAACACACCCTAGGGCTCCCAACGATTCCTCCCTGCGAGGACCCTCATGGTTAACACAGGAGTCACCTTTCCTGGACACACACAGCCTCCCTCCACCCTAACAATGAAAACACTCCAAAACACTCTCACAGGGGTGTAGCACCTGTAGGAGGAAAAGACGAGAAAGGAGGGTATGGGAGGGCAGCCTATGAGGGGGCCTGGGGTCGGGGGTAGCTGGCCGAAGCACCCAGTGCTGGGGACCCCACTCCCACAGCAGATGTTTCTGCACCACCTTGTCCTCTATGGAAGCCTCTCACCTGGGACCCCCCAGCTTGAGATGGTGGGGGAGGTGTAAGTTTACAAAACCCCCCGCTTTACAACACGGGGTAGAGGGTGCTGTGTAAGAGAAAGAGAAAGAGATACACAATTTGACTTATTCCAAAGGCCACGACTCCTTTTTTTACAAAGGCATTTTATTTTAGTAAACAAAATACTGGTTATTATTATTTTTTTTAATTTTAATTTTACCTTTTTTTTTTTGGAGACGCAGTCGCTCTGTCACCCAGGCTGGAGGGCAGTGGCACGACCTAGGCTCACTGCAACCTCCACCTCCCGGATTCAAGCAATTCTCCTGCCTCAGCCTCCCGAGTAGCTGGGATTACAGACGCGCGCCACTACACCTGGCTAATTTTTATATTTTTAGTAGAGACAGGATTTTACCATGTTGGCCAGGCTGGTCTCAAACTCCCGATCTCAGGCGATCCACTCGCCTCGGCCTCCCAAAGTGCTGGGATTTCAGGTAAAAGCCAGCATACCCGGCCAGTACTGGTTCTTTTAAAAACATATACAAATTCACACTATTTTAAGTGAAAGGTCTAGGTTGGGAGTTTATCCTCTGACAAATTATTCAATAATTAAGTCTTTCTTCTCTTTCTTCTCAGCTGGAGTCCACTCAAGCTGACATTTACATGGCAGAATCTAGAAGGGAATACCAAAGGGATGAGTAGGAAATGTTTGATAAGAGTATACCCGATGTTTACTGCTCAGCATAAAGACGTATGCTCAGCCATTTAAACTTAACAAGCGGACACCACTCAAGTCTATCACTCAAGTCTATTTATTAACCAATGTATTTTTAGCATCAGTTTCCCTTCCATCTGAAACACCCCACCCCCCTTTTATTTATTTATTTATTTTTTGAAACAGTCTCACTCTGTCACCCAGCCTGGAGTGCAGTGGCACAATCTCAGCTCACTGCAACCTCTGTTTCCCAGGTTCAAGTGATTCTCGTGCCTCGGCCTCCCAAGTAACTGGGATTACTGGCACGTGCCACCACGCCCAGCTAAGTTTTGTATTTTTAGTAGAGATGGGGTTTCGCCATGTTGGCCAGGCTGGCCTTGAACTCCTGACCTCAAGTGATCCACCCGCCTCGGCCTCCCAAAGTGCTGGGATTACAGGCGTGAGCCACCGCGCCCGGCCTGAAAACGCTTTTTGTTTGAAGCAAGTCTCTAGTCTTTAAGAAGCTGCCAGCCTAGAGAGGAAGACCAACTCCCTGAGTTGCTTCTAAGCCATCCAGGCCTGACTTAAATGCAGGTCTCTGCTGATGTTTGTGGGAGGAACAAAGCCTTTATGATCTTCCATCTCATCTTTTCTTCCTTTGATCAGTTTAGCACACAAAATGGGATTGTCAGGAATATAAATTCAATCAGCAACATTTTAATTTAAACTGCCTTCCCTCACCCTTTTTAATTTCTCTCCTCCCCATCGTAATGCCTACTCCTAAATTTCAGTCAATCAAACACCTTAAAAAAAAAAAAAAAAAGAAAGAAAGAAAGAAAGAAAGAAAGTAACTTCTTCTATCTAGCAAAAGCCTACAGTTCACTGGGGACCAGCGAGTGGGCAGCTGCCGGAAGTGGTGAGTAACAGAGTGAAGCATCCCTACGAGCTCACTTGCCTGTATTCAGGAAGGTAGCACAGCTTGGGCTTGGCCATGCTGATCGAATGCATTTGACCTGGGATCAATTTCTGACTCTGTTCTTCACCATGTAGAGAGAGCCATTCTTTCAATCTGAACATGCCTCACAGAGTCATCAGGGCTGAATAACACAGTTGTGCATGAAATGCTTAGCAAAGTCCCCAGCACAGAATAACCACTTAGTAGGTGTTGCTACTATTCCTCATCAGTAGGTCTTTAGCCTCAACAAGCCTGACGGCACTGCAAGGGAATTCAGCATGGAATCTCAGAGTGGGCTGGGTTTGGGAGGCCACCTAGCCCAGTGGTTCCTACAATGACCTGTTGCTGAGAAGACAACCTAAGGATTATCTAATGGGTTTTCAAAAGAACAGAGGCTGGGCACAGTGGCTCACACCTGTAACCTCAGCACTTCAGGAGGCTGAGGCGAAAGTATCGCTTGAGCCCAGGAGTACAAGACCAGCCTGGGCAACACAGCAAGACCCCTTCTCTACTAAAAATTGTTTTAAAAACCTAGCCGGGTGTGGTGGCGTGCTCCTGTAGTCCTACCTACTCGGGAGGCTGAGTTGGGAGGACTGCTTGAGCCCAGGAGGCTGAGGCTGCAGTGAGCCGAGATTGTGCCACTGCACCGCTCTAGCCTAGATGACAGAGTAGGATCCCCTATCTTAAAAACAACAACAAAAACCAACACCCAAACCTAACCAGAGCCATTATGGAATCTCTCTGGGCTGAAGCCTGGGAATCTTCATTTAAACAAACACCTGGGCAATTCTGATCATTAGCTAGGTTTGGGAACCACAGATCTAGAACCCCACCGCCACCATATTTGAATCCTTTTTTTTTTTTAGACAGGGTCTCGCTCTGTCACTCAGGCTGGAGTGCAGTGGTGTGATCATGCCTCACTGCAGCCTTGAACTTCTGGGCCTCAAGCAATCCTCCACCTCAGTCTCCTGAGTAGTTGGGACTACACACCCAGTAAGTGTGCAGCTAAGTTTTTTTTTGGTTTTTTTTTTTGGTTTTTTTTGTTTTTTTTTTTTAATTTTTGTAGAGACAGGGTTTCACTATGTTGCCCAGGCTGGTCTTGAACTCATTGGCTCAAGTGATCCTCCCACCTTTGCCTCCCAAAGCACTGGGATTACAGGCATGAGTCACCACACCTGGCTGAATCCCCTGATTTTTAAAGTACAGAACTCAACCTGCAAAGTGAAGAAACTGCATCAACACACTGGAATCAAGGTAACTGTGAATTGTCATGTGTTAAATCTGTAACAGGGGCTTAACAGGAACTTTCTGGTGCCTTGATGTATTGTAACTCCCCAAGTGTGTTCTAAGCCCACCAGTGTGCACTGTGATAGGCACTGGGTGACAACGATGAGTGTACCCTCAGGCCTGGTGAGGAGGTCCTTGGGAAGAACCTAATAAGCAAGGCCAAAGGCCATGGTGGCTGAGGAATGGCCTGCAGGGGGATGGGGAGTGGGCACATGTGGCAAATGAGGTCTGGGTTAAGACCAGACTGGGAAGGGATTTATTTGTCATACCATGGAGTCAGACTTTATCTTAAAGGTAACAGGGTTTCTTAATCTTGGAATTTCAAATGACCTGTGACTCCCCACATCTGCAAACTTCTCCCCACACACAAATGCAGATGGTTTCAGTATGTGTGCTTCTCTGGGAAGAAGGTCCACAGCTGTCACTGAGTCCTCAATTCTTAACCCAATACCTGTCAAGAACCATTGCCACCGCAGGTTTCAAGAAGGATGAACTAATGCTCCGTGCACCTTGGCTCAGCAGCACTCACATCCCAGGACCAGGATCTGCACACCTGGCCCTTTATGGAGCAGTTCTACCTTAGAGAACAGGTGAGGCCACATGCCCCCACGCAGCCCTTCAGACCCGACGGACAGGGAGGTCTCAGACCTCTCTTGTTCATTGATTGGTCACCCCAACCCACTGGCCAGCTCCCATTTGCAAGGTTGGGTACTGTGGACTCACCTTCAGTTATCTTTTTTCTCTGATTGCTTCTTCCTTTCAGCCTCCAGTTTTTGTTGTTTTGCCTCCAACCTTTTTCTTTGATACATTTTCACCCCAGCAAATGTCAGGCAGAGAATTAATGTTTTTGCTGCCAAGATATACAGCAGCAGGGGCACGTGCTCAAGAACCTTCAAGAAGAAAGAAGCCATGCTAACTAAATGTTCCATCACCGATATGGGAGGTTTCTTTTATGATCCTTCAGTCAACAAATATTTACTTAGCACCTATTCTGCAACAGGCACGAGGATAGGGGGCTGGAGCTACACTGGAGACCAAGCAGAAAAGGTCTCTATCCCCATGGGGCCAACAGTCAAGTTACAGCTCTGCTCTTTGCTGCTTGCTTGCGGCTGGCTTCATGGAGGGGACCACCGGTCATCCACAGGCGTGGGGACTCTGGTCTCTCACAGCTCAACCGTGCAACCTGCTGATCACCCAGGCCCTTGCTTCTGAGGCAGCAGCCAGATCCAGTGAAAGGAGCTGGAGCCCGGAGGCCTGGGTCAGAGCTCTACTTTACCACCGACTGACCGTGTGACCTGGGTCAGGCAATGAGCTCCTTTCTTTCTGAGCTCCTGCCCCTTCATCTACAAAGTAAGGGTGAATCAGACCTTGCTTCTGGAAACTGCAGCTTTAGTACTCTGGGATTTTCTCTTGTTTCTAGAGACTCACTAGCACTGGCACTTGCTGGTAAAATAAAACACGACAGAACTCAAAACATTAAAACATGGCTACTTACTAACTGCTCTTGCAACCCCATTCACTAAAATAAAGTCTAGGGAAACACTATGCATTTGAATTACTCACTCTTTGCACTAGTAGGTTTTTTGTGTGAAATTCTATATATTGCAAATAGTACTTCAAAGCAAATATTAGTTCCATACACATGGTTAGCATGACCTGAATGATATGTATGTGCTTTTTGTGTGATTAAAAATTCCCTCCCAAATAGTGAAAAGGTATGCTCTGGTTGAGCAATCATTATTTTAGAGGACCAGGTAGGATTTTATCCCAATGAAATCCTTATTTCTGTCAATCACTTATTATATGAAATACCAATGAGATTCCACTGTGGGGGATACATGTGCACCTCCCTCTAATAGTCTAACCGAAGTTGATCTGAACCTAGTTAGTGTGTACAATATGCTCACAGAACCGGGGGGCTGGAAATAACTTTCAAGGGGACCTACTCAACCCCCTGGTTATATGAGCAAGGAAAGAAGAGCTCCTGGAGGTTGAGAGGTTGAAGGTCCCACAGCTCCCTCATGAGGAGCCAGTTGGAAGGACATTCTAACCCCGGGGCCAGTCTCCCTTCCACTGATGCCTGATTTTCAACAAACTGAAATTCATGAAATCACAGTGTATGTAGATGAATGTTCCTATGATTGTATCGAAACTCTTTATGACTCAGAACTAGATGTGGATTTCACGCTTAGAAGCTGTAGCATCAGCTGCTGTAGACTGGGAACTCACGGCATGCAAAGTGCCTTATGCGGCTTTCCCTTCTGCCCTTAGCCACCTCCATGAGCAGATGGCTCGCCCTGACTGCGGTGGAGCCGAGAAAATGCAGAGGCGGGGAGGCCAGCAGTCAGCGAGGCAGGGCCTGACCCAGCTCCAAATGCTCCAAAGCCCAACTCTGTAGCATCACGCTGTCCTGTACTATATATGATTCATTCCTCACACCCATCCACTTCACATTTACAATATGCAAATACACTATGGCTTGGCTACTGAATTTTCCAGAGGCAACTAGACTCGCTACCTCTGAAATCATTTAACTGGTTATGTATGGATATTTGCAGAAGGATATAGCATGATATGATAGAAATACAATGAAAATCATGGGAGGAGGCAGGGACGCAAATACTTAAATCGTTTTAATTTTACTAAAACAGTAAGAACACAAGAACACTCAGTAATTAGCTAATAGTTTTCAACCATGATATCGTTTTAACAGTAAAGAATAAGCACAACACATACACTTCAGAAAGATCACTCTGGCATCAGTACAAAAGACTAAAAAGTTCCAAAAGTGAAACTTTTCAACTTTTTACTCTGGTAAATATAAGGAGCTTTAAACACTGACTTCATTTCCAGGTTCTTCTTCCCTCAGACCTAGGCTAATCCCCTCCCTCCAGTAAACCCTGAAATCCTGTTTTCTTGAAGGTTCACATTTTAGAGGTGAAGGTTTGACGCCATGCATACAAACCAGCTATGAAAAGAATGTTGTTGTATAAACTTCTTTTTGTTTGCTAGGATTTTCCAGGCTACCTGAGGCAATGACTCACACTGGGAAAAGCTAATCTCTTCCAGCTTTCTCAGTCTCTCTGAATAAACCTATGGGGCCCTATTATTATTATTATTTTTCTCGAGACAGAGTCTTGCTCTGTCACCCAGGCTGGAGTGCAATGGCACCATCTCAGCTCACTGCAACCTCCACCTCCTGGGTTCAAGCAATTCTCCTGCCTCAGCCTCCCAAGTAGCTGGGATTACAGGCATGCGGCATCATGCCCAGCTAATTTTTTGTATTTTTAGTAGAGACAGGGTTTCACCATGTTGGCCGGCTGGTCTCCAACTCCCGACCTCGTGATCCGCCCACCTCGGCCTCCCAAAGTGCTAGGATTACAGGTGTGAGCCACTGCACCTGGCCGGGGCCCTATTACTAATATAACAAAGCCCATGTTACTGCCCATAGCTGTCTACAATCCAGATAGGAAACTTAGCTTTAGCAATTGCAGGAATGTACTCTCTCATCCAGAAGTTAGAAAACCCATGGAAATGGAAACGCATCAGCCAATGGACCCTAGTGGGAGGCTTCAGTGTTCACTTTGTTTTACAGGCAGTGGAGACGCACGGCAAGAGGCAGAAGTGTGGACTGAGAAGGACGCAGCACAAGGGCAGCAGAGGTCAAGAACATTCACAGGGTAAAGCGAAGAGCTCCAGGGCCCCCTTCCTGCCCCTCTCTTAGGCACTAACCTTCAGTGGTATGAAACCCCTTCCTCCAATTTCCTTTTAACAAACCCCTTACATCTCTTGAAACATACAGACCTTCAGGGAGGAAAATGAATGCTGCCAGGGTGGACTGGATCTATATGAATATTTTTTTGAGACTCCAACTAGGCTGGAGTACAGTGGCATGATCACGGCTTCCCACAGCCCTGACCTCCCAGGCTCAAGCAATCCTCCCACCTCAGCCTCCCGAGTAGACGGGACTACAGACACATGACACCACGCCCAGCTAATTTTTTCTGATTTTTTGTAGAGCTGGGGTCCCACTATGTTGCCCAGGCTGGTGCTGAACTCCTGGGTTCATGTGATCTGCCCACCTCAGCCTCCCAAAGTGCTAGGATTACAGGGGTGAGCCACCATGCCTGGCCTAGATCTACATCAATTTTTAAAAACAAAACCCCAATATCTGTGAAATGGGAATAACTAAGTTTTTAAATAATGAGGCCATACTTGTTGCTAACGCACAGGTAGCACTGTTGACTGTCGCTGCCGGCCATGGCCCACTGAGCCAGAGGGGGAAGGCCACCAGACGCACTGGGGGCTACTGAACCTTCCACCTTCTGCAGCTCTCTGCAATCAGGGCCATGACTGTCTTTCTTTTTTTTTTCTTTTGAGACAGGGTCTCACTCTGTCGCCCAGGCTGGAGTGCAGGGGCATGATCTCGGCTCACTGCAACCTCCACTTCCCAGGCTCAAGCAATTCTCCAGCCTCAGCTTCCCGAGTAGCTGGGACTACACGTACGCATCTCCATGCCCAGCTAATCTTTGTATTTTTTTGTAGAGACGGGGTTTCGCCACATTGTCCAGGCTGGTCTCAAACTCCTGAGCTCAAAGTGATCTGCCTGCCTCGGCCTCCCAAAGTGCTGGGATTACAGGCATGAGCCACCACGCCCGGCCTGCGGCCATTCCTTTCTAACACTACACGAGATGGGGCTGTGTTTAAACACGAAGCTGCTCCCTGGTAGCCACTTCCCTGGTGCAGAAGCTGGGAAGGTTTGGGCAGACTTTGTTCCTGATGGCAGAAAAAACTGTCACAAGCAAGACTGGCCCGAGTGGTCACATGGGTTGGTGTCACTCTACAATTAAAGAGGAAAACTTCCCACGCATTGCCTTCGACCAGTGTGCACCAGCACCGCCTGGAACTTATAAGAAGTGCAAATTCTCAGGCCCCAGCCAGATCTACCCAATCAGAAACTCTGGGAGTGGGGCTCGAAATCCTTGCCTTAACTAGTGCTCAGGAGTGAGAAACACCACCTTGAGGCATGAGGTTTAATGCTTTGAACCCTGGCCCTTAGTACCAGTTACTGCCTCTCTCCTCTACTGACTTAGCCACTGCAGTGGGCGAATGACCTCCCTAAACCTCACCCCACACTGCTTTCCGCTCCTTCCCCTCTCCATCCTCTCACTGCCTCTTCTTTCCTTCCCAACCTTTCCACTGTGAGCTCTGATCCTCAAGGCATGCTAAACAAACTGTTCTATATCTTCCCACCCTTCACAGCTCACTCACTCTGCCATCTTTAACTTACACAAGTTCCTGGGCCCTCAGCCCTCCTGCAGGGCCTGCCGAGCCCCTCACCCCACACAGCTGGGGAAGATGGGAAAGCTACCTTCCTGGCTCCCTGATCCTGCTTCCAGACCTTTCCAGTTTCTCCTTGCAATAGAAAACCACTGGATGTTTTGAAGAAAATGCTTATAATAATTGAAAAAACACGTAAAATAAGATCCTATGCATGAAAACACGCCACACATATATACAGAAAAAGATGAATATACCGAGATTGTTAATAGTAGCCATTTCTAGATGGTGAGACAATGTATGATTTTTGCTTGATATTAGACTTTGCAAAGTGACTATAATATATTTTAGTGGCTGCTCTCTTAAACAACCTCCACCTCACCTTATTGACTTCCGGGACTTAAGATGACATTCTCCTTTCCCTCGGTGGAACCTGATTGCTGACCTACTCTCTGGCTGCCCTTGAACTTCTGCTCCCACCAGCTGAATCTAATGTTTCACAGGGGTCAGGTGTGTTTACTCGCCAAGCAGTTTATTTAAGTTGTACTTGATACTATGTTCCATAACTTATTTAAACATTACGCTTGTGAAATATGACTGTGTAAAGCAAAAGTTTTTATGAAAACTAAGTTGAATACTTTGAAAGACTCAAGTTTGCGTTGGAAAAAAAATGCTGTTGGCAAGTCAACTGTAAAAGATTAGGAAAGAGTATGAAACACTGGAAAGATTTTGTGTATGCACTGCTCATAAGATCTTAATCCACTGTCTTAGTCAATTCAGCTCCTAGAACAAAGGACCACAGACTGGGTGACTTATTAAAGAGGTACTTGTCACAGTTCGAAAGGCTGAAAGCCTGAGGATCAGGGCGCAGTACAGGGGGGTTCTAGCGGAGTCCTCTTCCAGGCTGCTGACGGCTGGCTTCTTGTTGTACCCCCAACATGGCAGAAAGAGGGTAAGAGAGCTCCCTGGAGCCCTTTTAATAAGCTCACTATTCCAAACATTAGGGCTCCAGCCTCATCACCTAATTACCTCTTACAAGCTCCAACTCCAAATATCATCACACTGGGCACTACGGTTGCAACATATGAACTTGGGGAAACACAAACATTCAGTCCACTGCATCTACTTTAAAGGAACCAAAACGGCCTGAGCACAGTGGTTCATTCTTGTAATCCCGACACTTTGGGAGGCTCAGGCAGGAGGACTGCTTGAGCCCAGGAGTTCAAGACCAGCCTGGGCAACATAGTGGAGCCCTATCTCTACAAAAAAAATGTGTAAAAAAAGAAAGCACAATGCAAAATTGCAGGTAAAGCTTTAAAGGTATAGTTTTTGTAAGAAAAGTGAGGAAGATTTGAAGTTAGTGAATGCACACTCGAAGAAAAGGCCTGGCCTTCTTCCAGAAGTCCAGCGAATAAATGTACATTTATGTTTTAACTTAAAATGAAACATAAATATTATGCTTTCACCTACTTTTTCTTTTTAATCAAGCTACTGGTGTAGAACTGTTATTCTGAATTTTCACAATCAGGAGGAAGAAAAAACCCCAAGCCATAAATATTTAAAACGATACTCACCTTCCAATTCATGGTAGACTGTGAATTCACTCCTGATCAACACAAGCCCCCAACAGACAAGTACATGAGAGGCAGCTGGAAGGTCTGATCTGGGCAGGAAGAAAGAAGCAGGTCAATTTGGAGTTCCTAGGGCAGACCACCTTAGAAAGATGTCTCTTTGATGGAGAGAGGGAATGTGAACAGAAAGTGAGCTCCACAGAGAGGTGGGCTGTGTCCTGACAAGGCGATTGAGAGACTGGTGGGAAGTGGATGGGCTGGGCGAGGGCCCAGACGGGCCTGGCCCTTGCTAAGCAGAAAGCTCTCCTCACCAGCTGTCTGTAGCCGCCAGCAGCACAGCGCCGCTTCTGAGGGGACATGGGCTCCCATCCCATTCATCTGTGAACCTAAGGGCCCAAGTCTAAAATCTGTCCCTCCACCTGCCTCCAGACCTAAACGCAAGCTGGTTTGGGAGTGAGTGTCTTTGTCAAGTCCTCTGAGTGTTAATTAAACTCATCTTGGTTTTTCGAAGATTATCTGGGAGCAAGGGAATAAGTGACAGGGCAGAAAAATTGTCAGATGCAATAATTCAGAGGCAGAATTTTCTCTAAAGCTTGAGGGAGACCTAGTAGAAGGTAGGGAAGGAAGTGATATCAGAGAGGATGGTGAATTGTGAATTCCAGAGTTGCAGAATTGTTCTTTAGATTCTGATTTTTTAAATGACAGCACTTTGGTTCAGAGGATATTACCCCAGGTCATATGCCACACCATGGCATATGGAAATGAGAAGGCAGGGCTGGCAGCCCGAGCCTTGGGATTCGCTCCAAGGCCTTGTAGGTCCCTACTCTTAGAATATGACACATAACCCCAAGAAGACTTCAGCTCTGGATGAAGAACCTACACCCTCTGGTAAGTGACTTCCCTCTAGAGCTTCAGTCCCATCTGTAAGTGAAGAAAGGTGTCAAGCAGATGGTGTTTAGTGCCCCTACTTCTTCTGAAATCCAATGCTTTATAGCACAATAATCATAGCTTAACTTTTTTGTGTCAGATGGAAAAAAGTGGCTAAAGTGCTTAGATGAGTTAAGACATTTAGCCCTCACAACTACCCCATAAAACAGCTTACTGCCTCCACTTTAGAGAGGAGGAAATAAAATTTAAGTAACACATCGAGGGTCTCGCAGGTGGGCCTGGGATTCGAACCCATCCAGTCTGGCTCCAGGGCTTTAACCTCGGCACCATCCTGACACAGGCAGAGAGCTTTGCATTCAAAAGTCAGGGAAACACTTCTCTTGAAATGTACTTACCGTCATAATTAAGAAAAGTGGCTGAAAATTTCAAAGGCCTTTAGATAGAATGGGGATAAGATGAACTTCAGGCAAGATGTTTTTATACAAACTTTCAATTACAAAGCTATCTAAGTATAAAAAGTTCATCCTCCATCTATTCAAGATTATAATATCTTGAAAACAAGCTAGCAGTTGGCACAAGGTAGCCAAGTTTTCCCCATGACTTTTTCAAAGTCAGATAAGGTAGCGATAGGAATTTAAATCATAGATCTGTTTAACTATAATGATGGTGGCTGAATGTGCTTGTTACCTTCATGTGTAAATGGCCCACTTGTCTTTAAGAAGCAGCAGATTCTGACTGCCCTAAAGAAATATGCTCCTAACATGTTATAACCTGTTGCTACAATTTTCACTTTGAGTATCTCTAGTAATCTTAGTGATTAGCTAATGTTGTATATTAAAATGTTAAAGATCTTACAAATTTTATTTTTACAATTCCTGCTTTAATTGAGTTGTATACAAATACAGTAGATGAGTCTGGCTGTTCCCTCAAAATTTTCAGAGGCAAAACTGCATACCCAGTGAATTGATGTACGTAGAATATTGATTCCCAAAGTCAAGAACGAGAAATAGGTCCAACGATCCTACAGGAGGAAATGAATGAAAAAACATCCAGTGGTCTGGCCCTCTGGAAAACATGTGCTATGTTCACTAGCAGTGTGACCTTGGACAAGTTACTTGGCCTCTCTCAGCCTCAACTTGCCCATCTGTAAATTCTCTTGCAGATTAGACTGTAAACACTAAGCACCATGGCCAGCACACAGAAAGCACTGAATGTCAGCCATTGTTGTTATGTTAAATCTCTCTCCTTCCATGACTGGACATGCCAACCTGAAGGATACAGGCTAGCGACATCCAGGGCAAAATGCAGTCATTCCAAGATAGCAGGGCAGGGAATAAAGATCAGTAGCCTGAGGACCAGGACAACTGGAGATCTGAGCTCTACTCTTGGTGTTACCCATGGTGTGGCATATGACCTGGGGTAAGTCATTAACCCTCCAAACCAAAGTGCTGTCATTTAAAAAATCAGAATCTAAAGAACAATTCTGCAACTCTGGAATTCACAATTCACCATCCTCTCTGATATCACAGAACCTGACTGCCAAAATATACTGGCAGCTGCCTCAACTTCATACCTGGAGTGATAAAATTCAAGCTCTTTAGGAAAGAAACATATTTAGAGTCAATCTGCAATTGTAGCAGAAGGGCTGTGGTGAGGTGGGAGTCAAGAGGGTGAACCACACTGACATGCTTTGCTCATTCCCACCCACTGCCTCTGAATTACCACTTTTCCCCACCTCCCTTCAATTACATGCCCAAGCCAGCCATTTTCATAGAGTCTTTTGCAAATGAGAAGAAAAAAGCTAAAAGTATCAGTAAGCTATTTGCTCTGCTGCCATATGTACACCTAATGCAATATTAGAAACGAGGGAGCTGGTATCTGAAGGTTGAACTGCAAAAGCCAACAAGGTGGGGATGTTTTTGAGGGGCATAAAATCTAAGAAGTGCGGGAAATTTTTAACTTTCCCTGGACCTATCCATGATCTTAGCTTAAAACACAAAAGTAACAAGTGGCTTAGATACAACTCCAAATATTTCTATTTCCTTCACCGCAAAAATACCCTGTCTTCCTTTGTCAGGTTTCTCTTAGAAACAAAAAAGCTATTCGCTTATTTTGGTTAGACCAACTAAAGCAATATGGATAATGTGTCGTCCACAATCTATTAATACTTTTTCTTCTTGGCACACTAACAAATTCAAGGATCAGTCTATCGCTTGCTGTCTCCTTCCAGCCACGAATCATGCTGCGCCCTTTGTCTGAGCTTTCTGAAGCTGTTCTCATTCCCGGCCTCTACCCTTTTCACCCAACCCTTCACCCAATCATAAGGAGGGGTAGGTCCAGAGAGGGGGCTGCCAGGTGAACCTTGGGCATCACTTGGCCCTCTACACGGAAGCCTGGGCCTACAAGAAACCAGCCCTGCCCGATCTCAGCTGCCCAGACTCCACAACTCAACATTTCAGGGATCCACCGAGAAGCGATGACAGGTGTCCGGGTCTCTCCCTGCTGGAAGCCCAGGCCTCGGAGGGCGACGTCGGTGCCTGTGCTCGCTGTGCAACCCTGGGCGAGTCGCTGAACCTCTCTGGGCCTCAGCTCCTCCTGGGTAACCTGGGGGCTAGTTCAGGGTCCTCTCCCCATACCCTTCCCCCAACACTCAGGGAGCAACACCCGCCCTCCCCACCCCCCGACTTCCCCCAGAGCTGCGGATGAGGACCAGGGGCTGTCATCGCTTCCCCCACCATTCCAGGGGATTGCTTGTCTCCCTAGACTCTCCGGGGACCAACACCGTAGGCTTGAACCAATCCTGGGCCCCGCCCGGGCCACGTGCCAGCCGGAACACGCTGCTCAACGGGTTGACGGCGCCCGACGGCCAGGTCCAGCAGGGGCGCCCCGCAGGTGGGGCCTGGCGGCCTTCACCTTCCGGATCCCCGACCCGGCGCGACCGGGAGCCGGCAGACTTTTGTCTAGGAGGGAAAACCCGAGCGCGGGGCCGGCCGCGACATCGCAGCATCCCAAAGAGCTTTTGGAATTTGGGTCACTCCCTTCTACCCCGACGTCACACACTTACTGCTCCCGGCAGCGGAGGCTCCAGCGCCTGGCCGCGCACAAACCACGACTTCTACCGTCCTGCCGGGGAAAACTACAGGTCCCGAAATGCACCGCTACGTGCTCAGGCGCAGTGGGCCGGTGCCGCCGACGAGAGTGCACTACTCCGTGCGCAGGCGCAGTGGGCCCGGGCAGAAGACCTGGGGCGCGCTGCTCACTGCGCAGGCGCAGTGAGCCCAGGCGGGCAGCCCTGGCCAGCAGCTCTTGTCCCTGTGGCTGGAGGCTGAAGTCCACGTAGGCCCCGGCGGGGAGCCGCTGGGGTGTAGGCCGGGTGCCTTTGTCCAAGCCTGGCGGTGCGTTCTCACTCTGAACTCACCTGAGCTGGAGGGTGGGTTGTTGCGGGACCCTTCCGCCTTCCGCTGTCTCGAATTCCCTGGGTGTCTCCTCGCTGCTGTCTGCAGCTGAGGACACGTGGGTGCCCTTAAGAAGTTTCCAGACGCAGTGTTCGTCATCTCTGACAGCGTGCATGCATTTTCCTTTGGGGTAACGATATGGTGCCGCGGTACTAGGTTTCCAGATTTCTTCAGTCAATATGCTTAGTAAACGCGTACAGAGTTTGAGCCCACTCAGTGCTAGCGCCATGTGAGGGCACAAACTGGGCACCCAATACAAGGAAAGAGAGGAATGTGCAGGGAGTTACCACCATGTGCTCTGCTCCCCTTCTAAGGATGAGGAAACTGAGGCCAGGGGAGAGTAAGGTGGCTGGCAATAGAAAACGCGCGAATGGCAGTGGCGGAATTGAGATTCGAACCCAGGCAGTGTAACTCCAAATCCCATCAGGACTCTTTGTGGTTATGTTAGAATGTTAGAGGGTGTGGAGGGAAGAACAAACTGAGGGGTGGAGGGGTTGGTTCTGTTAAGGGAAGTGTTCCTGGAGAAAGTTACAAAAATAGCTTTGTTCTAAGCACTAGTGGCTATTGCCTAAGTCTCATAACAAGGCTGTAAGGGACGTGCTATAATGATAACCATTTCACAAATGAGGAAATGGAGACACAGAGATTAAAGTAATTTTTTCGTGGTTTTAAAGGCCGCAGGTACCAGAGCTGGGACTTGACCCTGGGTAATCTGGGTATAGATTCTATCAAATCAGCCACTATCCTGGGCTCCTTTTAAAATAGCATCTGAGCTATGCTTTAAGAAATAAGTGGTATTCAGGTTATATGGAGCCAATAAAACAGGCAGAAGGAACTCTAAAAGCAAGTGGGGTAGAAAAAAACAGCAAGTTGTTTGAACTGGCATTTTCAGTTGCTGGGTTGAAAGTGAAAAGCCCAGGTTTGGTGGGAGTGGATCTATGAGGTTT